>NC_000011.10:34453939-34605454 GCF_000001405.40 Homo sapiens
TTGGGGCAGAGGGTACAAGGCTCCTACCGCATACCTCCTTATTTTTCCTGAAGGATTGAGCAAAGATTAAGGCTTCTCCCACTTTTCCCTCACCTCCATCCCCAAAGTTGGGAAGTATTGATCTCATTGATCAGTACTGATTTTGTTGGCTACCATCTGAGGACCTTGGAGCGTATCCCAATCTCATTATCACTTCCAACATCCAATAGTGTCTTTCCAATATCATTTCTTTTAACTTTTTAAGTCATCCATCTATTTACTTAGCATTTATTGAGGTTTTATTATGAACAAGGCATATAAGTAAAATCAATTACAAATGTCAGAAAACAAAATTATACTGTTTTTAAAAATTTGCATTCATATAGCCAGATCAAATCAGTTACATCTGGGGAGGGTTTTGAGAATGTTTTAATCAACTGAAATATTATAAAGGGCCCTCTTTTGGTATAAGCATGGCATTTGTTACAATGAGCAATATTGCCAGTGAACCCTGGCATGTTAGTGATATTCCCAGAGAACTCCCAAGGGCTAGTCAGAAACAAGCCTGAGAACCTCTGTTTCCAAATACTGCTGCTAAGATAAGCAGAAAGAAGTGGGCTCGTGACCAGTACTGGATAATCTCTCTCTTAGTGACATCCAAAAGCCCTATTTTCTTCTATCCTGCTTTCTTCTTTATCTGAACAATTTAATGTAGGTATATCAAACAGGAAAACTATCACCTCTTTTTATATTCATAACTTGGATCTATAATATTTGACAAGGAAAAATTTTATGAAACAGTTGACCCATTGGCTTGTAATTGCCAAAAGGGTCAATGTAGTATTACTTAGAATAAGACTAAGTGGTTGTATCTAGGACAGCCAGTCTAGTTGGTAGCCTTGGAGTTATGCCAGCCTGAACTCAAATTTCTACTCTCCTAGATAATTGTGGCCTTGGGCATAGTATTAAAAGTTCTTTGAGCTCCAGTTCTTTTCACTGTGAAGTTGGCATAATATTACCAGCTATACAAGTCCTGGAAAGATTGGATTGCTTGTGGGTCTTTTATCCTAGGGCCCTAAGGTAGCCTGAGATCTACATGGATTCATCAGTCTGGATTATTCTGACCTAAGATTATTCTTTTCTAAACCTAAAGGATTCAGTTAAAATCAGAAAGGTATTGCAGTGTTATTGTACTACTTAATATATTAGCTCTTTGGGCGATCTGTACATGGTGACCTTCATTGTTTTAATCCTGAAGGTGGCTTTACTTCTTGTTCAGTAGTAAGAGTTCAAACCTTTTCACTGATGAGACAGTTGGGATTTCTGTGGTAGAAATAGACCAGCGTTCAGAGTTGATTTTTGCTAAGGAAATCTTTCTGCGGCACTTGGCTTGTTGGGAGGTCTTTGAGAATAAGATCACATGGTCAGTCCATCAAAGAACAGTATGATATGATAACAGGAGCACTTATGAAGTGACACAGCTTCTCTGGGTTTTAATGTCTTGCTTGGAAAGTCAGAATATTAATTTTGCCTGCTCATAGTCAGAGAACTAGTTCCAGGTGGCTGTACTGAAGTTCTTTTCAACTCTATGAGCTATGATTCTATGATTTATTAAAAAAAAAAAAAAAAGGAATAGGACAGGGGTGAAGGGATACTGGCCGAGCACAGTCTCAGTAATTGATTTGAGCTGTCATGAAATGGAATTAAAACATTACTTCATGATAAAAGGCAAGTAGTCCTTTAATTTTATTAATCTTTTGCCTACTTTTAAGTATATTTTGATTTTTCTGATTTGGAAAGTAACATGAGTGTAAAAATTCAAATAATAGAATACATAAAGGGAAAGATAGGACTGATTTTAAATATGAAATGTGTAGATGGGATTCCCTTGACATTTAAAAGTATTGGGATAATCAAGTAGAATTTCTTGTTGATAAATTCATTAGTATCAGATTTGAACAATAGAAGTATTGTTGTAAAGAAAGTTCATTCTTTGGGCAGTGTTACTCATAATCCTTCAATGAATTACTGATGAAATTTTGATAACTTTGACAATAAGTTTCCATTGGAGCTTCTTTCTTTCATTTTGTAGACTGACCAGGGCATCAAAAACCTTTCTGTTGAAGATGCGGCGAGACTTTCCCAGGAAGATCCTGACTATGGCATCCGGGATCTTTTTAACGCCATTGCCACAGGAAAGTACCCCTCCTGGACTTTTTACATCCAGGTCATGACATTTAATCAGGCAGAAACTTTTCCATTTAATCCATTCGATCTCACCAAGGTGAGTCAGTAAACAACTATATTGTTTTCTTTTTTAAGTCTCTTCTTACCTAATTAGAAAAAAAATCTAGTCAAACAATTATAATAATGGGGAAGTCATATACAAAATACAGAGGGTACCACTTCAGAGTGTCCTAAGCTGTGAATGAGTGCTTACCAGCATCTTACTTCCACGTTCCTGTTTGTCATTTCATTGAGTATGTGTATGTGGCTTCATATATTGTTATTAACAGGGAACAGATTATGAAAAGCTGATGTACTTTTTCCTGGGGAAACTGTCAGTATTTACCACTTACTATTGTGAAAGATTTAACTAAGGCACTCATCTTAAATTCTTATGTTTTATTGGATTTAAAAATTATTTTCATTGGCTTGATTGTATTTGAAATCTGGTATTTTTGTGGGTAGCTTTGATTTCCTTCAGTTGATTGCCTGGTAATTGTGAATATGACATCATTTTCAGGTTTGGCCTCACAAGGACTACCCTCTCATCCCAGTTGGTAAACTGGTCTTAAACCGGAATCCAGTTAATTACTTTGCTGAGGTTGAACAGATAGCCTTCGACCCAAGCAACATGCCACCTGGCATTGAGGCCAGTCCTGACAAAATGCTTCAGGTGAGCCTGGTGGATTGAGATGTTCTGAGGCAGGTGTCCATGTGAGCATGCACACACAAAATATGCAGCTTGGCATGATCTTTATGTGAGGAATTAACAAGAACATTACTTAAACTTTAATCTGGGTGCTTGGTTACCTTGTGGGATTCACTGAGGTGAACTATTCTTCAATGAGCATTCCTTGAGTAAACCAAGTATAAACAAAAGTCCATGGTAAGATCCCTACATATGTGAAGACAAGAATACTTACTCTCTTAATTAAAAAAAAAAGACATAATAGAAATACCTTAAGTATTGATAGAGTGAAGCATGGTTTGTTCTGTCTGTAGCTGAAGTATGGTTAATTAATTATAATACCTTGGTAAGCCTAACTTTATTTTCTTGTTCTTTTTTTTTTTTTTTTTTTTTTTTTTGTGACAGAGTCTTGCTCTGTCGCCCAGGCTGGAGTGCAGTGGCATGATCTCGGCTCACTGCAACCTCCGCCTCCCAGGTTCAAGCGATCCTCCTGCCTCAGCCTCTTGATTAGCTACAGGCGCCCGCCACCATGCCCAGCTAATTTTTGTATTTTTAGTAGAGACGGGGTTTCACCCTGTTGGCCAGGCTGGTCTCAAACTCCTGACCTCAAGTGATCTGCCTGCCTCCGCCTCCCAAAGTGCTGGATTATAGGCGTGAGCCACCGTGGCTGGCCTCATTTTCTGTTTCATGGTGATGCTTGAATTTTTCCATTTGTAAAAAGAGATCTAGGGATGATCTTTATGAACTACATGTATGCTGCCAGTGATAAAAGCAGTGGATTAACCATTCACCTTGCTAATGTTAAGCCATCAGTATGTTTTACATCACTTTTTAATATCTCTTTCAAGAGTACCAAGAGTGAAAAATTGTACTTTGGATCAGAATCAGTAAGAAAATAATTGGCTTAATAATTACTGTATAAATCAATCTTTTGTGGTTTTAGACTGTGACCTTGAAACAAAGGTTAAAGATTGTACCCTAAATCAGACCACAGCGACTGAAGGTTACTTCTTATGTAAGTATCTGATTCCAGTTCAGGTTTCAGTCTGCATGGAGGACAAGCTAAGATTCCGTTTTTAAAAAATAACTTTTTTGCTTATGACATTGGGGAACATCTGAGGCTTTTATAGAAAGTAAGTTTTTCATTAGTTTTTAGTCCAATTCAACTGTTACAAATTGAGTACCTGTCTGTTGTGTATGGTGGACTGTCTTGGGTGCCATAATGTAAGGCAGAATGCCATGGTGATCCAGAAAGCAAAATTTTGTCTGATAGGAGGTCAGCCACGAAGTTTCATGAACGAGGTAGCATTTGAGATTGTTTTGAAGAATAGATAGGATTTTGATTTTTAGTAGGTAAAATGCGGCAGGAGAAGGACATGAGTATAGGCACAAAGGTGGGACATGTTAGGTGTGTTGAAACTATAAACAGTCACTCTCTCCTGAATGAGAAGAATAGAGTTTGGGTAGGTTCATTGAGTATATGTCAGAGGGGACCTTAAATGCTTGAGTAGGAGTGAAAAGCTTTCTTCAGTTTTGAGAAGTGTGGTCTGGGATATATTGAGTAGAATCACTCCTCTTGGTGATAAATAGAAAAAGCGACAACTAGGGATTGGGAATAGCAAAAGGAAAGTCAGGCAGTTCTCAGAGGAAAAGCAGAAGTTTGCATTGAAACCAGGGAGTAGAGGAAGCCAAAACAAGGTAATCCTGGGCCCTAAAACTCCCTACCTGGTGGCTGAACTGTGAGAGGATGAGGCTAATGGGATTTGCCAAGGCATGAAATTGTCATGGGCAGAGCAGAGGCTGCATAACCCTGGTTACCCAGGGAGGGAACGGATTGAGGAATACAAGGTTACCTAAACTCTTTTCACAAGAATCCAAGTCACCATGGGTCTCTGGAACCACAGTGGGACCGTGAGGCAGTCAGCAGCACTGAGTCATATAATTTGAAGAACAATGAAGATTTGAATGGAGAACTAGGCCCCCGGGAAAAGGACTGCAAAGCAAATACGTATTCTCTACATTCCTAAGAAAGCAAATGTCTAAGGCAGCTATTCAAACAGTGGGGAAGAGAGTTCTGAAAAAGGATGACAAGTAGAAAGTAATATAATTTCTGTTAGTATTAATTTTAGTTCTGGCAAATATATCTATTTTAAATTCAGTGTACTCTTTATAGGTTGTTTTTTTTTTAAATGAGTTTTAGAAACTGTTCGAAAGAGCTTTCATAAGTTTGTCGAGTTATTGTTTCTAGCCTAGCTTTCCCCCATCCTTCTTAGGTCATTTAGCTATCAGTTCCAATACCATGGAGCCTGTGAGGAGCCATACAGTTGGGGAAGGACTGTTGTACTCATTTAGCCATTTGGTGACCATTAAGGAATGATTTGAGATTTTTTGAGTAGGTGAGTAGGGAATATGTAGATTGTCTTGTTGGACAGGAAGTGGAAAGCCAGTTAGGGGGGCTTTGGGGTTATTCCTGCTGAGAGCTCATGAGTATTGTAGCCTAGGCAGTGGCGGTTGATATATTAATGGGCAGTGTTTACAGGTGCCTTTTAACAAGGTCATGTTATTAAGTTTTATAACTTTATCCAAAGTGGTGAGCCACACCATGGTGAAATGGACAAATAATATAATACAAGTCATAGAGAGACTGTCCTGTCCCCTGAGTACCTGAGGACACAGGTGCAGCCTTTCTTGCTCTCATTCTCTGCATTTTGCCAAGAGTTGGAGAAGTTGGGCCGGTTGCTTGGGTGGGAAAGGCTTTCCCACTCACGCAGGTCCAGCAAGGGAGTTCAGGCACAGGGCCTTGGGGAAGGCCTAGATTCAAGCTGGTGTCAGGGTATGGCCTCACTGTGCCCATTTCCCAACCTTTGTTGGTCTCCACCCATAGGTGGGGTAAGGTTGCCTGATAAACACAGGGTGACACAAAATCAGAATTAGGTGATAGAGGCTACATCCAGGAGCTGCCCATGGCAGGATTGTATCTCCTATCCTGTTGATGGAGTCAAGAGCACAACTTTTTGAGCCAAAGGAGACAACCAGCTTCCAACCTATAGCTGAGTTTTGGTCATGGCCGCATGGCTAGTCATCTAAATATGACCTTAGGCTATTTGAAATGATGATAAGAGGGAGTCATTCAGCCAAAAGCAAAATATTGACAGAACACTGGGACTGGATTAAGTCTGTTGGTATCAGTGATTTGGAACAAAGTTATTGCTTAAGTTGCCCTATTCAATTTGGTTTTTATTTTGCCTCATAGAATTAGGGATATAAAAATACTTTTAAGGTTCAAGGCCAATGATAAATTCAATGGAAGAAAAATTGCTCATAGAAAAGGAGTATGAATAATGAGAATAGTTCAATAATTAGATATTAAGATTAATGCAGAATTTATCATAAAGCTTTTGTTTGAGCATTAACTGAAAGAAATTTCAAGATGCTTGCCATCTTTGCCTTGATTAACATGGAACATAATTTAATCTTAGATTGATTACCTTTGGCATTGTAGGGCTTTCATTTTGAACCACAGATTTTTTGTTATTGTTGTTTATATCTAGAAAGTCTCAGAGCTCAAAGTGTTTCTGAGATAATTCAGAAGGCAGCATGGGAGTGGGCGGTACTTTTTTTTTTTTTTTTTTTTTTTTTCTGATCTTGCTTTGTTGCCCAGGCTGGATTGCAGTGACACGATTGCAGCTCACTGCTGCCTCAATCCCCTGGGCCAAGCAGTCCTCCCACTTCAGCCTGTTGGAGTAGCTGGGACTACAGGCACATGCCACCATGCTCGGCTAATGTTTTAATTTTTTTTTTTGTAGAGACAGGTCTCGCTGTGTTGCCCAGGCTGGTCTCAAACTCCTGGGCCCAAGCGATCCTCTCACCTTGGCCTTCCAGAGTGCTGGGATTATAATAGGCATGGGCCACTGTGCCCAGTTGGAAGTGCTTATTTGAAGAATTTCCCATGCTGTTGGTTTTGTAGAAATGTGTTGCTTTTTGTAAAGAGCAAATGATTGGTTCCTTCCCTGGAGTGGGGGAATGAGGAGGAATAGAATTAATTCAATATTTCAGTTAGTTAACGTTCTAGCACATTTATTTTATAATGCAATACTTCCTTGGGAATAGGAAGTAATACTGTATAAGACAAGACACTAACTTGTTATGCAGAAGGAAAAAAAAAAGATATTATTACCAAAAACAGATGTGAAGATTTATGGTTGGCCAGAGGGCCTGGGAAATTCAGAACTGTTCAGTTAGGGAGAACTCGTTTCATAAGAGTAGAGGCTTCACTCTTAAGTAGCGGGAAAGGCAGAATTTTGTGGTAACCATGTACAGAGTGCTTTGTACTTCAAATTTCAGAATGAAGTTTACAGCCCATTCCTATGTTATATGTTACTGCCCCTAGTCAGTGTCTATTGTATTTATTACTGCAGGGCCGCCTTTTTGCCTATCCTGACACTCACCGCCATCGCCTGGGACCCAATTATCTTCATATACCTGTGAACTGTCCCTACCGTGCTCGAGTGGCCAACTACCAGCGTGACGGCCCGATGTGCATGCAGGACAATCAGGGTAGGCCTAAAGACGTTGGGCTCCCCCTGCGTGGGCAGAGGGCACGTGGAGCAGATGGGCGGGAGGCCAGGCCAGTGGCTCTCAAGCTGGCCCCGCAGGACCTCCTGCTTGGTAAAGGTGCTCCCCAGGTGCTGCTAACTGGGCGCTTTTTTGCCCAGCAGTGAAGATTTAGGCTGCCTGAGGACTCTCCATGCTTTTTATCTATTTTATATATTTTATTGAGCATTTCCACCTCAGATGTTACTTGTATCCAGTAGTTAAAAGCAGGGAGAAAGATCTTTCACACTGGCTAGAGTACAGTAACATCCAGCTTGGGAGTTAGGTTTTGAAGACACTTCACCAAAATGGACAATTCCTTAACTCACTGTGAAATCACCAAGACTTAGACCCTTGGAAGTGCGAAAGCCAAGAGTTGGAGTCTTCTGTTTCTCTTTGCAGTTCTGCTGTGGCCCTGGAGGAGCAGGTCTAGCTAGAATTTGGAGGGGAGCTAGAATTAGCAGGGAAGGCTGGGGAGAAGAGAGTAGGGGAGGCAGAGCAAGTCAAAGGATTCCCCTCCCTTCATTTTTTCCTAAGTGAATAAAGTTAGGTGAATCAACTTACCACTTTTTGTTTTTTGGAACTCATTTATCAAACTTAGGATCTTTTTCTTTTAACTACTTTTTTTTTGGTGTCGTATACAAACAGCCTCTGGTTCTAATTACTTTTTCTAATAAGTCAAGCAGAATGCTTGATTAAAGTTTTTTCCTTTTACTATTCCACAGTTTAATATAGATCTTAGTTATTTTCTTTTCCCATTTAGGACACGTGTTTTAGTAATATAGACTGCATGCATTGATCCCTTTAGAAATTTTACTGATGATTTATATTTATAGCCACAGATGTCTATATTCAAACAAAGTTTATTTTTCTATGATAAAAATAATACAAGTGTCCTAAAGAAAATTTGGAATATATAGGAAAAAGAAGAAAAAAGAAAAATTCCCATATAGTCCCAACACCCAAAGGTCATAGCTATTACATTTTGCTATATTTATTTATCTATTTATTTATTTTTTAGACAGAGTCTCACTCTGTTGCCCAGGCTGGAGTGCAGTGCATGATCTTGGCTCACTGCAGCCTCTGCCTCTGGGTTCAAGAGATTCTCATGCCTCAGCCTCCCGAGTAGCTGGAAGTATAGGAGTGTGCCACCACGCCAGCTAATTTTTGTATTTTTAGTAGAGACAGGGTTTCATTGGCCAGGCTGGTCCTGAACTCTTGACCTCAGGTGACCCACCCACTTTGGCCCCCCAAAGTGCTGAGATTACAGGCATGAGCCACCGCGCCTGGCTTGATTGTAAAAGTAGAGCATTTGGGCTGTGACCCTGAAGCTCAGTGAAAGAGCTTAATTGTTCCTGTGGTCAGTGCTTTAAAGACAACTACCACTTTGAGTAAAGGTCAGGGCTCATTTGGAAGTAGGATTTTAAAAATTAACTAGGCACATTTCAAAGAGCTAGTTCTTAATGAAGAAAACACTGTGATGGCTGGTTTTTGGAGCATTTTGCTTTTCATGTAGATGTGACTGATCTGTTGAATTTGTTGAGTGAATAATTGGGCTCTATAATAGTATGGTGTTCTTCCTTCCCCTACACACACACTTGGTGTCTTGATGAATGTCATACATAGGCACCTCTTGATTATCCACTGTGGATAATCTATTACGGCAGTGAGCTGGCTAAAATTCCAACCCCAGATTGGTTTGCTCAAACCACTTAATATGTTTCTGGGCCACTCCTGTTTAGGCAGTGTGTGCTCGGGTAATGAAAGCTTCTGCTAATGTCAGCCAAAGCATAGTTGAGAAAATAAATATGCTAAAACGAAAAAAAAGCCTTATAATTTATTTCAAAAGTCATAGAAAATATTTTGATTGTATTTGTCACTGTTTCTTATAAGTCCAGATAAGTAAGTGCTGATATACAATTACCACATTTTAAAAAATTCTTTGTTTATTGGTCTGTGGAGGGTATGAAAGTGAAGCTACAATGGAACAAAGTCATCATTGTCAGTAAAGGAGAGATACCCTGAGAATCCTAAAAACACTTTACGGAATAGCAAAGTAGAGTTCTGTAATGGAAATACTGTATATGCTGGGCTGGAGGAGACAAAAAACCCAGAGTTCCAACCCCATATCTACCACTGGCTACCGTGTGACCTTGCAGCAGTCAGGTCCCATCACAGAGCTCCATGCTTGTGTCTGTAGATTCAAGGAGCAGAACCAGAACTTTCAGATTTCCCTCAAGAATTTTGTGATGCAGTGTTTGAATTGAGCCCAAGTCCAAATGACACAATTTTTCAAGTCAATTTTGAAATGTGTCTTTGAGCCTCATCCCTATATGGTGGCCAAATCAAGCCTGTATAAACTTCTACATGTGCTGTACCCCTCAGAAGACTTGATAGATGAGACCCTTTGAAGTGTCAAAAGGGACTTTGAGATTCATTCATAAAGTGCGGCAGCCTGTGCAAGCATTTAGCAGATGGCAGCGTTCCCTAAGAATCTTCATACTACCTGTAGCTAAATGCGGGAAATTAAAAATAATATGTGTGCGTTGTGTTTATATCTGTGTATGTGTACGTGTGTATTTGATTACCACTTGAATTTATTTCTCATCACAGTGATTATTTGCAGACTTACTTGACTTTTCTTATTCCTAAGTGCATCTGGGTGGTTTTGTTTTGAAGGTGGTGCTCCAAATTACTACCCCAACAGCTTTGGTGCTCCGGAACAACAGCCTTCTGCCCTGGAGCACAGCATCCAATATTCTGGAGAAGTGCGGAGATTCAACACTGCCAATGATGATAACGTTACTCAGGTAATGACTTCTCTTTATCTGCTATGGAAGTCACCTGCTAATTCTCCTTGTCAATGCCTGCATAATCCCCCTCCCTGCAAATGCCCCAACTGTCTGATGTATCTTAAATTGAATTCAAGGAAGACTCATCTGTAATAGTAAATTGGGCCCCTTACTGGGTGGAGTTGAAGGGTTATATTACTCTGGTCTTTTGCCTCAAAGCATGCAGACTCCGTCTCAGTTTCTTCAAACTTTATTGAAGGGATATGGGGAGGGGGCATTGGGGAAACAGTTATCTCATGGGAATTTAAGAAATGAGCATGTACAGCTTACGTGGAGACAAATCTAAGAATCTGGGCAGGACAGTCCAGGTTCAAGGACTAGAACTAGAGATCCAAAATAGCTCCAGGAGCCTCGGCCACAAGAGTGTGGGCGTTTCCACTGCAGGGCTCGTCCTTCACGTGGCTTATTCTCCATCTGTCTGCTTCTGCTTGCCAATGCTAATTGATTATTTTTACCACAGCTTCCTGTTTTCTCCTATCTGCGTCAGAGCTTCTGTTTTATCATGGTTGTGGCTCTTCCACAACAATGGAAAACTCTCCTTTATGGCGTCTTTCTCCATTATTACTTTTTTTTTTTGGACCACCTTTTACTCCTTCTCTCAACATGTCTATCTCTAGATTCTAGAGAGATGGAATCCTATTGACTTGGCTAATCTTTTCACCCCAGGTTGCACCATTGGCCTTGGTCAGGCTCTAGTTAACCGCCCCAGGGCAAATGCTCATCCTCTTTCCAGTTGCCTATGGCTGCCCTAAGAGCTGTTTCAGCACATGCTATGAAGGAGGCCCTTGGACTTGGAAGGGCTGTAGGTGGGCAGCTGCCTCCTTAATGTGTCCAGTGCAACTTATACCACACACAATAAAATAATAAAGTTAAAGGTATAGTTGTTCTAGAGCTCTGTTTGAGCAGTTAGTGTTAAACTTAGTATTTAAATTAGATTAGAACCTATTTCTAGTTTCTCAGTTTGTGAATGTGGGTTCCAAGTAAAAAATACTTATACATGAATTAATTCGCTGTGAGGATATCTTTGCTTGAAAAGCATTTACGTATATACATATATACGTATATATAAAAAAGAAATTACATTATTGTGGGATATAAACCATTTTTAGATGAGCTTAAAACATTTCCTGCATACCTTTTATGTAACTGCATTATTTTTGGTGATGCAGATGACACCAAGTATATTACAGTACATTCCCTGCCTCTCAAAGAATTTTGCCTATGTGAGGTCAATACAGGTATTAAACCAGCTCATACAACCCCTGCAAAAATTAATGAGGCTATTGCTTACACATGAAAATTTATTATGTGCTCATTCTTATTGAGAGAATTTCTTATCACTATATAGGATATAGTGTGGTTTTTAAGTAATCACAATACTATTGTTATAGATTCATAGCATAATTCTGTGATGATGTATCACATGGGAAATACATAAGAAGGTCCAGATTTATTCTCTTAAAAATGATTCACTTGGGCTTGCATCTGTCTATGGCAGACTAGCTTGTATCTTACTTACCGTTTCATGGAGAACATTGAAAAGGTAGGTAAAATACATAAAGCACTTGTTTGAAGGCTTTGGAGAGCTAACAAAGCAACAAGGATTTAAGGGACCAAGATCAAAGATGGAAAAGAAGTGCAGGAAAAAAAAGTGCAGTGAAGTAAGCTTGACATTTGGTTTCCTTTCCTCTTAAGGTATTTGTTAATTTGTAAGCACTGGTCCAGAAGCTGAGTGGTGTTTACAGCAGTCTCATGAGTCTGAAGGGACAAAAATTGGAATTCAAGGTCTGCTAAGAAGCAGAGCCTCTAGTTATACTCAAGGCTTTCAGTTGAAATCCTTAAAGGGCCATGCCTAGGAATAAGGGCAAACATGAAATAAACTTGCTTTCACAATACAGGAAACATAACTTTGCCTCTGCTCAGTCTCAGATTGGATTAAGGTGATCTCTTTCTACGCCATCTGTCAGAAGCAAACAAAATTTTCTTTGGTGGAAAATAGAAACTCAAATGATTCTAGACCTTTTTATATGGAAATGTTCAGCATTCAACAATAAATGACCAGGCACCTAACACATTAAGACCTTATGACTGAAAATCAAGAGGGAGAAAAAACCCCCTACAAACTGACAGTAGAAACAAACCTAATGGAGGCTTAAATAATGGAACTGTCAGATACAGGTTTTAAAATGACTGATTAATAGGTTTGAGAAAATAGATGGGCTGGGCGCGGTGGCTCACGCCTGTAATCCCAGCACTTTGGGAGGCTGAGGTGGGCGGATCACGAGGTCAGGAGATCAAGACCATCCTGGCTAACACGGTGAAACCCCGTCTCTACTAAAAATACAAAAAAAAAATTAGCCGGGCGTGGTGGCGGGCGCCTGTAGTCCCAGCTACTCAGGAGGCTGAGGCAGGAGAATGGCGTGAACCCGGGAGGCGGAGCTTGCAGTGAGCCGAGATCGCGCCACTGCACTCCAGCCTGGGCGACAGAGCGAGACTCCGTCTCAAAAAAAAAAAAAAAAAAAAAAAAGAAAATAGATGACTGCTTGAAGAATTTAGTAAGAGAACTTTAAGCTATAGAAAAAGAGTTGAATGGACATAACTAGAAAATGTAACAACTGAAATTAGAATTTAATAGATGGCTTTTAAAGGAGGTTAACATGGCTGAAGAGAAGATTAGTGAATTGGAAGATAGAACAATAGATGTTATCAAGACTACTTCATCTGATGAGTCATAGTGAAAAATTAGAATACATACAAGGAAATCCAATGAGAAATTACACATGCAATAATAGATGGAAGAATCATAGACATGATAATTGGAAAGAGGCTTTAAAATAAACATACATATTTAAAGAGATGCAAAAAAGGAATATTATTAAGACAATAGGATATGAGGAGAAAAACAGGTAGATTTGAAAAATAACCAAATAATATTTTCTAGAAACAAAAATTACAATCTGTGAAATAAAAAGTCAACAGATATAGTGACCCAGTCGATGTTTTCACGCAATATGTCAAATACAGCTGAAGAGAGAATTAGTGAATTGGAGATAGGTCTGAGGAAATCCCCAGGATATAGTACTTTGATTAGATTGTGTTAATCGAAAATGTCTGATTAACTTTGGTATCAGGTTTAAACTTTACTCAAAAATTTAAAAACATAATTATAGCCTGATATTTGATGACTTATGGAAATGATGCATCTCTTAATATTTTATGAAGTTGATACTTTGGATAATTGGATATTATTGGACTTCATAAACATTAATAGAACAGCACGTAGAACAGAGTCTCGCACATTATAGATACTCAATATTTGTTGAATGAGTGGAATGAATGAATGAAATGTAAGAATAAAATCATAGCTACAACCTTTTGATTTCAGAATGGGGCAGAGGCTGCTCGGATTCACATATCTGATACTAAGCTCCTATTTTTCATTTTAATTTATGGATATTTATTTTAGAGGTCAACCCAATAATCTAGCAAAATATCACTATTAATATGTCTTGCTTAAGAAATATTGGCTTCTGAATAACTACAGATACACATGTATAAATGAGGTAGTTTTTTAGATGTCTATATATAGATATAATTATCTATATATCAAATTATATCTCTAGCTAAATTAGTTAATTTTCCTCCATGGTTCTGGGAGAATTGAACAAAGGTATTGTGCTAAGTTTACATTCAAAGGCAGCTTGCACATTTTAGACTTGTCAGTATTAAGAATGTGGTGAGGTTTTAAATTGTAGATCTATTTATAAGAGATTTATAGCAGTTACTATAAAGGATATTATTAGAAAGCAGGTATGAGCTATTAACAAATGAATTTTACTTATTTTGCTTAAAACAAAAAGTGAAGGACACAACCCAAATTTAAAATTTAAAATTATTCTTAACTTCTAAAGTTTTTTTTATCATTGATTTCCTAAGTGTTGTAGTAGGTGAATTTTGTTGGTGATAAACTGGTGATTCAATTCTCTGCACTTGCTCTTTTCTCTGAGCAGGTGCGGGCATTCTATGTGAACGTGCTGAATGAGGAACAGAGGAAACGTCTGTGTGAGAACATTGCCGGCCACCTGAAGGATGCACAAATTTTCATCCAGAAGAAAGCGGTGAGTCTTTGTAAGCTGAAGGGTGTCCTCTGCTGGCTAAGGAAGACAGTGCAGCTGTGTGGGAGAACCCTAAAAAGAAAGTGCCATTTCTGTTTTACTTGACTTAAGAGAACTTAAAAAAAAAAAAATAAACTAGTAATCCCCAACCAACTTCTGATTATTTTCTTTCCATGTTTTATCTGGTCTGGCATATCCATCGTCCTTAGCTGTTTGTCCAGTGTGTACTAATTTAGTTGTGTTCAGACTGAATTTTGTCCTATTCTGTTTAATTCAGCTGCAGCCAAGTTCTGTGCAAGATAGTAAATGTGCAATATCAAAATGTGAGTCCTGCTGCAATTCTACTTAAACTTTGGATGATAATAAATATATCAGCCGGTGTGATGGCATGCACCTGTAGTCCTAGCTACTTAGGAGGTTGAGATGGGAGGATCGCTTGAGCCCAGGAATACAGGGCCAGCCTGGACAACATAGGGAGACCCTGTCTCTAAAATCAGTCAATCAGTCAATCAGTCTGTCTTTCTTTTTTGCATTTTTATGGTTTAAAACCTGCCTAAAGGCTTAATGTCATAATACCTCGATCCTCCTTCAGATGCAGACTAGAAATTTGCATGATTTCTGGAATAAGAACTGCAATGCTTCCAAAAGGCAGGCTAGACTTTCATGCTAAGGTGCTGGGGTATTTCTGATGGCCGCTCATCGAGCTGAGTGAAGCCCTCTCACTTCTGGTTTCCTGGCCTGTCCCAGAGCTAAGCTTTTTGCAAATCTAGAAATCCCCCTTTTTCCTTGGCCCCTAGTTGCTGCTTCTCAGTTCCTAGGGGCAGCTGGGCTAGCAGCTGTCTGGGCTGTGTCCCAGAGCCTGGGTTCCAGTATCAGCAGAGAGCTTGACAGGCGCTCTGTGTGGTAGGCAGGGCAGGATTTATCTCCTTTTACTGGAGAGAATGGATACGACAGCTTGTAAATAGCAGAACTGGGCTGGAACCCTTGGCATTCTCCTTTCACATATGCTGAAACTGTAAGGCTTTTATGGGTTCCCAATGCCCTGCCTCCTCTTGCTGTCCACTGGGGAATTCCTGCCTGAAGTGTGTGGAGTTGTGCTGCATGTACCAGTGTTCTTGTATCCTTCACATTAACTTTAGGCTGTGTCTGGGCCCGTTTCTCAATGTAAATCACTGTAATTTGTTAAGCGCTTACTCTGAGGTCAGCTCTTTTCATGCAGTAAATGCACCTCACTTCTCAGCATTTTTCTCACAGCATCCTGTGAGGTAGGTTGTGTGGGTTTTTTTTTTTTAAGATGGAGTCTTGTTCTGTCACCCAGGCTGGACTGCAGTGGCATGATCTCGGCTCACTGCAACCTCTGCCTCCTGGGTTCAAGAGATTTTCCTGCCTCAGCCTCCCCAGTAGCTTGGACTACAGGCATGCCCCACCATGCCCGACTAATTTTTGTGTTTTTAGTAGAGATGGGGTTTTGCCATGTTAACCAGGCTGGTCTTGAACTACTGACCTCAGGTGATCCACCCATCTTGGCCTCCCAAAGTGCTGGGATTTCGGGCGTGAGCCACTGCGCCTGGCCTAGGTTGTATGGGTTTTTTTCCCCGACAATAAGCAATTCTGTAATTCTTTGACAGTAACTGTGTGTCCTATAACTCAATTCAATTCTAACAGTAGCTCCTGGAGCTAGAGTCAGAACCCAAAGATTTAGGGGTCATTTCCCACTTTAGATAACAAATGAGGTACCCTGGCTATGCACACTTCTGCAGATTCTGACTGCAAATCAAACCCTTTCCTCAGGTTTGATAATTTGCTGGAAAGACTCATAGAACTCAGGAAAATGATTTACTTATGATTACCAATTTATTATAAAGAATACAACTCAGGAATAGACAAATGGAAGAGGGGCATGGGGGAAGGCCTCGGAGCTTCTGTGCCTCCCTGAGTGGACCACCCTTCTAGCTCCTGGATGTGTGCACTAATCCAGACACTCCCTGACCTTGCCAGTTGTGGGTTTTTCTGGAGGTTTTATGACATAGGCATGATTGATGAAATTATTGGCTATGGGTGATTGAATACAATCTCCAGCCCCTCTCCCATCCCTGGAGGTTTGGGGGTGGGGCTAGAAGTTCTAACCTTCTGATCGCGTGCTTGTTCTTCCTGGTGTGAGCCTCCATCAGGAATCTATGTAGGCCCCCATGAATCATCTTAGTAGTATATAAAAGACAGTACATTCGAAGGGTTTTAGATCTGTGTCAGGAATGGGGGACAAAGACCAAATAGTATTTTTAAAATTATACTGATTAGGTGTCATTTTCTTGCGCATTTCGGCAGAGGGACATAAGCTCAGTAAGTTAAGTGACCTATCCGAGGTTGCTCAGCCAGTATATGTCAGAGTGTTCACTGGACCTGCATCTTAACTCTGAGGCTGGCATTGTTAAACACCTGTAGTACTGCCTCCTGCTGAAACGTCTTTCCTCCCCTATGGAATAAACACTGGGAAACCACAGTCCCTGGGGAGTGATATAGTAGGGAGTTAGAGTAATGCTTGCATTTATTTTCCTTTGGCCTTAGGTCAAGAACTTCACTGAGGTCCACCCTGACTACGGGAGCCACATCCAGGCTCTTCTGGACAAGTACAATGCTGAGAAGCCTAAGGTAAGCTGGGAGCAGCCTGGCCATGCAGAGGCTGTGTGTGCTGGGTTGGAGTAGGCATGACTTAGTTACCACTTAGCATTACAGTCTGCAGGGGCCATTACCTGCCACTGTTAGATTTCTTAGGCAGCTGTGCAGAAATTCATTTGAGAGATAAAGAATTCACTGGCAAAACACATACTCTTCATTTTAGCGCTGGGCAATTTAAGACAGTTAAAGTGAATGAATTCTGAATTATTATTTTCATTTGCATACATATTAAAACTGAGTAAATATCACGTTGCTGCCCATGAGGTGATTAACCTGCTCATCTTGTTCTTTTAAAACAGAATGCGATTCACACCTTTGTGCAGTCCGGATCTCACTTGGCGGCAAGGGAGAAGGCAAATCTGTGAGGCCGGGGCCCTGCACCTGTGCAGCGAAGCTTAGCGTTCATCCGTGTAACCCGCTCATCACTGGATGAAGATTCTCCTGTGCTAGATGTGCAAATGCAAGCTAGTGGCTTCAAAATAGAGAATCCCACTTTCTATAGCAGATTGTGTAACAATTTTAATGCTATTTCCCCAGGGGAAAATGAAGGTTAGGATTTAACAGTCATTTAAAAAAAAAATTTGTTTTGACGGATGATTGGATTATTCATTTAAAATGATTAGAAGGCAAGTTTCTAGCTAGAAATATGATTTTATTTGACAAAATTTGTTGAAATTATGTATGTTTACATATCACCTCATGGCCTATTATATTAAAATATGGCTATAAATATATAAAAAGAAAAGATAAAGATGATCTACTCAGAAATTTTTATTTTTCTAAGGTTCTCATAGGAAAAGTACATTTAATACAGCAGTGTCATCAGAAGATAACTTGAGCACCGTCATGGCTTAATGTTTATTCCTGATAATAATTGATCAAATTCATTTTTTTCACTGGAGTTACATTAATGTTAATTCAGCACTGATTTCACAACAGATCAATTTGTAATTGCTTACATTTTTACAATAAATAATCTGTACGTAAGAACAGAGATGGTATTTTCTTTCTTTCGACTCCATATGTAACTGTAAACTGCTACCAGACTCTTAATTTGAACATCATCATTTTCAGATGTTTACCCTTAAAAATGGAAATGCCAGTATCTCGAGGACTCCATGTTATTTGTTTAAATCTATAGCCTTTGGACAGCCTTCTGAGACACTGATAAAATAGCAAATGCCCCAACTTTGAAAATTACTTAAATCTCTTGTCCATTTGCTCACTTACCTGTGATTGACTTTTTAAAACAAGGGCTCAGAACCACTGGTCACTTTCCTCTTCCTTCTTTTTAAAGCCCATATTTGCCTATCATGGTTGAAAATCACATGGAAGACTTTAAAGATGAGTTCTGAATACTAAATGAAAATTTGTTTTCCTTGAAAATCTTTATTCCGTTCATATTCAAAACCAGTTTGTGCCGGGTGTGGTGGCTCATATGCCTGTAAACCCAGCACTTTGGGAAGCCAAGGCAGGAGGATCACTTGAACTCAGGAGTTTGAGACCAGCCGGGGCAACATGGCGAAGCCCTGTCTGTACAAAAAATACAAAAATTAGCCGAGTATGGTAACGCATGCCTGTAGTCCCAGTTACTAGGGAGGCTGAGGCGGGAGGATCTCTTGAGCCCAGGAGGTTGAGGCTGCAGTGAGTCGTGATTGCACCACTGCACTCCAGTCTGGGCAACAGAGTGAGACCTTGTCTGAAAACAACAACAATAACAACTAAAAACAAAAAACCAAACCAGTTTATACTTTCAGGAGTTCCTGAGTTACGGGCTTCAGGAAACAGACCACTAGCAGACAGATACAAACTCATTCTTGGTCTTTTAGCTCAAATTTCTTTACTCCTCTGTCAAACCCTCCTGCCTAATTCCCCCCGTATTTGAGTATGCTTTGAGACTGTTATATTTGTAGACATAGAAAATAGATATATCGGGCTGGGTGCAGTGGCTCACGCCTGTAAACCCAGCACTTTGGGAGGCCAAGGCGGGTGGAACACCTGAGGTCAGGAGTTTGAGATCAGCCTGGCCAACGTGGTGAAACCCCATTTCTACTAAAAATACAAAAATTAGCTGGGTGTGGTGGCATGTGCGTGTAATCCCAGCTACTCGTGAGGCTGAGGTGGGAGAATCGCTTGAACCCAGGAGGTGGAGGTTGCAGTGAGCCAAGATTGCGCCACTGCACTTTTTATTGGGAAAGGTGAGAACTTCTGGAGATGGTTGGTGGTGATGGTTGCACAACAGTGTGAATGTATTTAATGCTACTGAACTGTACACCTAAAAATGGCTAAATGGTAAGTTTTGTGTATATTTTACCCCACAAAAAAATCCAATGGTCCATTCTTAGTCCTTGTCTTACATGACCTCTCAGCGGTGTTTGACACAGTTGGTCGTTCACACTGCCTTCTTCATTGTTTATTTATTTTAGAGACGGCATATCATTATGTTGCCCAGGGTGGCCTCTGCCTCCTGAGTAACTGGGACTACAGGCACACATCACCATGCCCAGCTTTCCTCCTCGTCCCTTTCTCCTCCTCCTCATTTTTCTTCCTCCTCCTCCTCTCTCTTCTTCTTGTCCTTGCCCTCATCCTCCTCCTTTTTTTTTCTTCCTTCTTCCTTTTTTCTTCTCTCTCTTTTTTAAAATAAGAGCTTTATTGAGATATAATTCACATACCGTAAAAACCACCCATTTAAAGTGTACGAGTAAATTTTTTTTGTATATTCACAGAATTGCGCAACCATCACCACAATCAATTTTGGAGCATTTTCATCACCCCAAAGGGAAACCTGTACCTATCAGCAGCCACTCTCCATTTCTTTCTTAACCTAGTCCCCAGCCCTAGGCCATCATGAATCTAAGATTTGCCTACTCTGCATGTTTCATTTAAATGGAATAATATAGTATGTGGTCTTTTGTGACTGGCTTCTTTCACTTAGCATAATATTTTCAAGATTCTTACATATTGTAGCATCTATGAGTGCTTCATTTTTTTAATTGCCAAATAATATTCCATTTTATGGATTTACTATGTTTTATTTATCCGTTTATCATTTGATGGACATTTGGATTGTTTCTACTTTTTGGCTATTATGAATAGTGCTGGTATGAACATTTCTGTACATATTTTTGTGTGGACATAACATTTTCATTTCTTGCATTCTCATCTTAAAAGGTGTTTTTCTGGCTGGGTGCGGTGGCTGCCACCTGTAATGCCAGCACTTTGGAAGGCTGAGGCGGGCGGATCACGAGGTCAAGAGTTCAAGAGCAGCCTGGCCACTATGGTGAAACCCCATCTCTAATAAAAATACAAAAAAAAATTAGCTGGGCGTGGTGGCAGGCGCCAGTAATCCCAGCCAGTCAGGAGGCTGAGGCAGGAAAATTGCTTGAACCTGGGAGGCGGAGGTTGCAGTGAGCCGATTGCGCCACTGCACTCCAGCCTGGGTGACAGAGCGAGACTCCGTCTCAAAAAAAAAAAAAGGTGTTTTTCACCTACACTCTGCCACACCACTATCTAAAAATGTAAATATTAGACTCTTAATATATAAAAATCTGTTCTTTTGCTGTGTCAAGCCCCTTGACATAAGTAACTCCATCTTAGAGACTCCATCTTATATTTCATAGGGCACTTTGCGAACAGGGACAAGATGTTTGCTTAATAAATAAAGACTGCATCCAACCAGATGAGGACATCAACAAGCACACTTTTCCACTCTCAGTCCTCACTAGAGGACTGTGGCTATAAAAAGAACAGGACTTGCGCAGCTTGAAATGGCCGTCTTAACTACACCATCTTGCTGTTAATCATGATAATCACCTGGCATCTGCCACTGAAGGCTCTCGGACTGCCTGGCGCAGACCAGGAGATTCTTTTTGCCTTAGTCGCTCTCCCTGAATTGATTCATTAACCCTTTCTTCCTATCCTTCTTCTTTTGATGTTCAATATTACTTTGTTGTGGCATGTTTAATCTATAACATTTATATTTTAAGTATACTATTATGTATGATCTGCCACATTGACTGACTTGTGGAGTGGCTTGAGCCTGTGTGACTGCAGCTCTGACTATCGAGCAAATGGGAAGCACTGAGGCAAACTGCCTCCTTAGGAACTCCGTGCAGCTCGTGGCTTTTGTGATTGAGATTACTTCAAGAAAGTCAGACATTGTGGAAAGACACAAATGTGCATGGACCTGATCATCTCTGACCTCACGCTGCTCATGAGACTTGCTCTTCTAAAAGGAGGGCTTGGTCTGGGCTTTTAGAAGCACTGTGAAGGATTGCCTAGTTTGTTTCAAATAAATGTCAGGATTTTGGTTTAAAAACACATTAATTCGGCCAGGCACGGTGGTTCATGCCTGTAAGCCCAGCACTTTGGGAGGCTGAGGAGGGGAGATCATTTGAGGTCAGGAGTTTGAGACCAGCCTGACCAACATGGTGAAACCCCATCTTTACTAAAAATACAAAAAATTAGCTGGGTGCGGTGGTACACACCTGTAGTCCCACCTACTCAGGAGACTGAGGCAGGAGAATTGCTTGAACCCAGGAGGGAGAGGTTGCAGTGAGCCAAGATTGTGCCACTGCACACCAGCCTGGGCAACAGAGTGAGACTCAATCACAAAAAACAAAAACAAGACCAACCACATTAATGTTTTCTTTCCTGGGTAAAGGGCATCACTCTGATTTGTGATTTGTACTATGGAAGTGTTTTAAGAACTTCTTAGCACTCATTTTTCTGGGAGAAAAGCCACAAGCAAGCTACTTGGGCCATTTCTTTGCCTCTTAGTTCGTGGCATTACCAAAGGGCAAAGAGCCAAATTCCACTTTAAACTCTCTGGTAAGCCAAACTGAAGGCCTTAACGTTTTTTTTTAAATCAGTGCTTTTAAAGATGTGAGGGGTTAGTGGAAGTCAACTTAAAAAGTTCTGTATAATTCGTTTTTTTTTTTTTTTTTTTTTTTTTTAAGGTGGATTCTCACTCTCCTGCCCAGGCTGGAGTGCAGTGGCATGATCTTGGGCTCACTGCAACCTCCACCTCTGTAATCGCTTGAATCGAGTTCAAGTGACTCTCGTGTCTCAGCCCCCGAGTAGCTGGGATTACAGATGCACCCCACCATGTCCAGCTAATTTTTGTATTTTTAGTAGAGACAGAGTTTCACCATGTTGGCCAGGCTGGCCTCGAATTCCTGACCTCAAGTGATCTGCCCGCCTTGGCCTTTCGAAGTACTGGGATTGACAGGTGTGAGCCACTGCACGTGGCCAGCTCTGTATAATTTTGAACCTCTGAAAAATGTAAACAATCACATATTAATATATGGGAAGTTTGCTATGGAAAGTTCTATTGCAGATCCTTTTAACAAAGCAAGTACTTATTCCCTCATTTGACTATTTGATAACTGAATTTTGCATTATCTATTGCTTTAATTTTTTGTTGTTTTGCTTTGGTATTGTTTGCTCAAAGTGTAATATTTTATTTATTTTTTTGAGACAGCGTCTCACTCTGTCACTCAGACTTGAGTGCAGTGGCACCATCACAGCTTACTGCAGCCTCAACCTTCTGGGCTCAAGCGATCCTCCCGCCTCAGCCTCCCTAGTAGCTGGGACTATAGGTGCACACCCCCACGCCCAGCCAATTTTTGTAATTTTTGTAGAGATGGGGTTTCATCATGTTGGCCAGGCAAGTCTCGAACTCTTAAGCTCAAGCGATCTGCCTGTCTTTCCCTCCCAAAGTTCTGGGATTACAGGTGTGTGCCACGGTGCTGGGCCAAGTGTGGCATTTTAAACAGTCCCTTGTATTTTCTGTCCTTCAATGAATTGTATTATGGAGCTATATGTTTAAGTAAAACTCTTACTTTAAAGAGTGTGGTGAATTGGACAGTGATCCCCCAAAAGATATATCCATGTTCTAATCCTTGGAACCTGTGAGTGTGACTCATTTGGAAAAAGGATCTTTGCAATGTCATAAGTTACAGATCAAGAGGAAACTGGGCGTGGTGGCTCACGCCTGTAATCCTAGCACTTTGGGAGGCCTGGGCAGGCGAATCACCTGAGGTCAGGAGTTTGAAATCAGCCTGGCCAACATAGTGGAACCCCATCTCTACTAAAAAATACAAAAAATTAGCCAGGCATGGTGGTGTGTGCCTGTAGTCTCAGGTAGGGAGGCTGAGGCAGGACAATCACTTGAATCCGGGAGGCAGAGGTTGCCGTGAGCCAAGATTGCACCACTGCACTCCAGCCTGGGTGATAAGAGCAAAACTTTGTGTCAAAAAAAAAAAAAAAGATCAAGAGGAAGTTATCCTGATTACTCAGGTGGGGCCTAAATCAAATAATAAGTGTCCTTCTAAGAGACCAAAGGGGAGAAGAAGGAGCAGGTTATGTGGAGACCGAGGCAGAGATTGGAGTTTTGCAGCCACAAGCCACAAAATGCCTGGAGTCACCAGAAGAGGAAGAAGAAGGGAAGGATTCTTTCTTCTTCTTTTTTTTCTTTTTTCTTTTCTTTTCTTTCTTTCTTTTTCTTTTTTTTTGGAAGGATTCTTTCTTAGAGCCTATGGCTTCCTTGATTTCAGACTTGTTGCCTCCAGAAGGGTGAAAGAAGATATTTCTGTTGTTTGAAGCCACCAATTTTGATAATTTGTCACAGGCAACCCTAGAAAGCTAATGCAAAGAGGATGCTAGTTTAATGGTTTTATAAAATGAAAATTTCTTGAGTAGCAAGAAGAACGAATGTTTTTGTTCTCTGAACTGCTTGGTGCCCAGGGAGTGGGAGGGAAAGCATCCACATCCAGACAGTGTGTTTCTCTGCAGTCCTGCCCACTTCTGCCTGTTTGTCCCACCCCAGTCCCTGCCATGCTCCTGAGATGCTTGGCTCTGCTTTATTGTCACTGCCAAGCTCTTGCCTGAAAACTCCCTATTTCCCTCCTGTTAGCTAATTTCTCTTCTCCTGGACAGTCTTTCCTTTCATCCTGACTGTGGTCCATTAACATGGTACTTACATCTTCAGGTGGCCAGGACGTGGGTCCCACATTCAAAATGTAAAGGCATTCTGGATGTTTTAACAACCACCATCAATAGTGCAAGAACAAAGTTGAATGGCAGCTGACAACCTGCGTGTCCAGAAGGCAGTAGGAAGTAACCAAATCCTCTGTCCAAAGGTGCAACTTCAATTTAGCTCCAGGAAATTACCACCACAAGAGACTGAGAAACTAGTGTTGCCAGATATGATTTTAAAAGAGAAGCTAGAAACCTGGATTTTTAGGTGAATCTTTCGATTTCTAAATTAGGCAATGAAGTAACAGTAAGAAATAAAAGAAAACCTCAAGAAAACAGACAATACTATGTGCACCAAACAAAAATGCATCTGTAGGCTATGTGCGTCAATGAACTCCATTTTGTCATGGGAACCTCTGTCTTATGATATTAAAGGTGGAGGGTAAGATTACTCCATATATTTCTTGCACCTTTTTGGGCTCTTTAAAAATCTCCAGCCTGCCAGGTGTGGTGTGGATTTAGCAAAAGTTCATAGTAATCCAGGTACTTGGGAGGTTGAGACGGGAGGATCACTTGAGCCCAGGAGTTAGAGGACGGCTTGGGCAACAAGCAAGAACCCATCTCCAAAAATAAAAGATAAATCTCCAACCACACCTGCTAGGAAATGGAAGAATCACCAAAGGTTTTACAGGTTGTCAGTGTTTTGCTGAGGCTACCATGCTGAATTGAATGATACACAGACAGTTGAACATGTTAAATACTTTATTCACATTGTTTACAAACTATATCCACCTGGAAAACACATGAATCCAAAATAGATTATTTTACAGTAATTCATATTTTTTAAAACAAGTTACTTTGAAGTTCAACTCTAATAAGGAGGTCTTCAGCCTGTACAGCGATTCAGTGCCTCACCACTTGATTCCTGCTCTGGTGAAACAGAAGTCCTAGGGGCAGTCCACCTAGCTGTCAGTCACTGATAACTTACATACCAGTGATTGATGAGAAAATGTCAGTGCAGACTTTAACCTATGAACATTTATTAGTGTGAATTCACTGTCACTATTTTTGTCAAGGAAATACGTGTTATAGCGCTTGAATACACATCAGGTAGAAAGACAAAACAAAAAAGACACACAATTTAATTTGCCATTACAGAGTTGTTAGGACATTTCCGGTTTTATAAACGTTTAACATCTGGACCTGAGATGGAATCAATGAATTTCGATTTTATTGTGTTGACAGCTTGAATCACAGAAACAGCAGTGATTTTGTAATTGATGCCAGTGTCTGTTGACTAACTCTGCATATCAGATGCCAGCCATCAGTTAGAAGGGGGAATAAACTCAGCAACAATTAATAATGTGGTTAATGTTAAGTGTTTAAGTCCAGAAGGATGTCTGTGGAAGTTTTGCTGAGTGGTCAAAAAGATGCTCTGGTTAGGAAACTTTCTGTGAACCTATGTTAAATCCAATTAAGTCCCAGCTTGATGGCTTAGCTCTTTCATTAATTAAGATACTTTTCTGCCCAGGTGCCGTGGCTCACGCTTGTAATCACAGTACTTTGGGAGGCTGAGGTGGGAGGATCACTTGAGCATAGGAGTTCAAGACCAGCCCTGGGCAACATAGTGAGAACCCGTCTCAAAAAAAAAAAAAGGGATACTTTTCTATGGATTTTTGACTTTAATAATTTAAAATCTAAAGTATGTATGTCTTATATCTCACCCTCTCCTACCATAACCTGCAAACTAATCATGCTTTCCCCCACCTTTGGTGAGCTGCCACAGTTATTTGAAAACTTTTGAACCTTTGGGATGGGAGCATTGGATGTGTCTCTAATGGCAGAATTGAATAGTTTTTCTCTGATCAGCATCAATGGCATGGGCTGTTGTCATTCCACAACTCTAGGAAAATAAAGTTTGATCAAGACACCACAAAAGATCATCCCCTCATCCCCTTAGGGAGAAGAAAGGATTTCTTAAGAGTTTCTGCTCTCACCCTCCATAGACAACAACTCTGAATCCAAATGTAAGCTGAGATGTGGAGAAATTTTATCAGCATGTTTGCAGGTTAAAAAAAAAGAGAAGAAAATGAAGCCTTTCGAATGTCTATTGCAATCTGATTGTTTTAAAAGACAGAAATCCATAAAATGAGCTTGATGCCTGGAGCAGATCATAGCTTGTCTTCCTGCCACCCGTGTGCATTTTTTCCAAATTTGTACACTAACCTTCGGTCAACCCGCTCCAAAATTCCTGTTTTATAGTAGTATCTGAAAAAGCAAGCAGAAGAGAAATTCTGGGAGAGCTTGCACCCTAGGAAAACAACAGAACACAAACACTGTCTCCTCATTCCTCTCAGGTGACAAGGCTGGTCTTTGGTTACCCTGGTATTTTCATGCCCTGTTATCAACTTACACTTAAACCTTTCCCAGACATCTTGAAGACTGAACCTCACCATTCTCAGCTCAAAACGTGTTTTTCTTTGTGTGTGTGGGCGTGTGAGATGGCCTGGATTCAGAGTGATCCCTGGGGAATGCTGCCAAGAATGCTAAGGACAGCGTGTCAATTTACAAACCATAATCCTACCTGTAACTAAGAACCAAAGTTTTGTCTCATGACCTTTCCATTATCAAGTAAAAAACCTGCAAAAACAGTGTAATTTTCTACAGCCAGCCATTGTATATAACTCTTCTTGAAGGCTCATAGTATTTTATGCTATTAACTTACCTCAGGGCTCTGCTCAACTTTTCATATGTCATTCTGTCATTTTTCTTCCTTTGTCCCCACATCTTTGCCAGGGCTTCCGATTTAACCACCCGAAAAATTCCTTGTTCCCTATCTTCCCATTCCAGAATGCCACAGTTTTCTTCAGGAGATAGAAGCAGGTCTCGTACAAATTCCCATAGATGAGAACTTTGGAGGCCTTTTGAAAAGGGGAAAACATTAACTATTTACCATTGTTTTTTAAATTAATTAATTAATTAATTAATTTTTTTGAGACAGAGTCTTGCTCTGTCGCCCAGGCTGGAGAGCAATGGTGCGATCTCGGCTCACTGCAACCTCTGCCTCCTGGGTTCAAGCGATTCTTCTGCCTCAGCCTCCCAAGTAGCTGGGATTATAGGTGCCTACCATCATGCCTGGCTAATTTTTTGTATTTTTAGTAGAGATGGGGTTTCGCCATGTTGACCAGGCTGGCCTCGAACTCCTGACCTCAGGTGTTGTACCCGCCTCAGCTTCCCAAAGTGCTGGGATTACAGGTGTGAGCCACCGTGCCCAGCTTGTTTTTTTAATTTTAAGAGAAGAGATGTACAATTTCTCACTAGGTCATGAGAATTGCTGCTTTGTGGAATATTTCCCATTGTTATGACTGATTGCTCTACCTGGAAACTTACTGAGCTGTGACATGTCTGTGTCTCCCATCGAAGCAATTGTGAAACACACATTCAGAGACACCCAATTTACATGACTGGCAACACTGTGACTCACAGATGTTCTATGGAACTACAGTTTAACTTTTATGGAATGAGTGAAATGACAGTCAAATGATCTTTTCATTCTTCTTTCTGACAGGCAGCATGGTTGTACTGATTCCACAGCCACAACTGTCTGGGTGGACTGATCCTGCAAATTCGTTTTTCATGAAAGGCTGGTATTTCTCTTATTCTATGATATGGTGGTTAAGACCAGCTCTGGAGTCCCATTATCTGAGTCTGGGTCCTGAATTCACCTCTTCCTACCTTTATAACCATAAACTTTTAGGGTTGCTTCATCTATAAAATGGGATAATAAAGAGTACCTGTCTCCTAGGACAGGTTAGAGGATTTAATGATTTAATACATACCAAGTGGTTAGAATTATGCCCAGCACATAGCAATTGTTTTCTACACACACATTTGTGAAATTACAAGCTTGACACTGCTCTGGGCCGATCTCTTAGTGCTGGGGAAGCTAATAGGATTGCCAATTCCCGGTGTTTTCTTTGTTATCCTCCTCTGAGATGAAGCCACAGTGGACCCAGGATTGGATCTGGCGCCAGATGGTGGAGCCAGAACTTGAACCCAGGGGGTTTTCATTCCAAAGCTAATGTTCACAACTACGATCATGTCTTTCATAGTAGGTGTTCAATAGACATTTAATGGATAATTATTAGCTATGATTTGTTTAGCGTTTGCTATTGTCAGATGCTTAATCTCACCCACTCGTATGAGAAGAAATCAATCTGACTTTGATAATACGTATAAAAGCAATCACTGATTTCTTTACTACCTTCCTTGGGGAGTAACTGGTCCAACTCAAACATTTAGTTTCAAAGCTTATTAAAGTAGATGACTTTGTCTGAGGAATGGTTTTAAGAAATTAGAATGAAAACTGGCATCCTGCACTTACTTGTTCTACTATGACTGTGACAGTCTTGACTTTTGATGCCACTTGTTTTCAAGCAGTTGGAATCAGCATCTGAAATAGAATAATTTATAGCAGTGGAAAGGGATATAGAGGCCACATTCAGACCTCAAGTCATACCCAAATGAGCAAATACTAATTGAATGCCTTTGTAGTAGAAGACACCACATTAGGCACTTTGGGGGTGATTACTAGGTGGCAGGTGTCAAGATGCTTTAAGATGTGCCTTTGAGGAGCACTTGTATTCAATCTCACCCCACCCTGATGAGAATAAATAAATCTGGTTTTGATCGAGGTCCGTGCAGGGCCTTCCTAGGAGGCCATGGTAAGGACTTGGGACTTTATATCAAAGTGTAGAGCAAAGATCCTCAATTTAAGAAGATCTCTCTTGCTCCTGTGTGGAGAACAGACTGGAAGAGACACAAGTAGAAGCAAAGAGACTAGAGCTTATGAAGGGTAGAAAGCAAGACGTTAACTCCGTGCTGATTTAACTAATAACTCAGGCTGTGAGTCACAACCTGAGACACCAGGACAAGCATTGCCAGAGTAGTATATGAGTTTTTAAAATGGTGGCACCAGATCTGCCCCTCCAGCTCACACTCGTCTCCACCGCTTCTCTTAGCCCCCTGCTTGCTTTGCCCCAGCCACCCTGGCTTCAGGCTCTCCAGAAACGTGCAGGCACATTCCACATCAGGGACTTCGCAGTTGCTCTTCCACTTGTCCTGCACGTTGTTCCCTTGGATACTTGTGGTGCACGCCCTCATCTCAATCCTGTTTCAAAATCACCTTCCAGTGAGGTCTCCTCTGACCACTCAAGTTGGGTCTGCACATCCTCCCCACTGCTCCGCATTTTACATAGAATATTCGAGCATATTCTATGGTGTATTTATTCATGAAGTTCACTGTCTGTCTGTGCACACGAGGGGGCAGGGATTTGTGTTTCCCAACATAACCCTGCAGCACCTAGCACACTGCCGGGCATATAGTAGGTGCTCAGTATCATCGAGCAGCCACTGTGCTATGCTATAGTAACTGTACTGCACCACACTATACTAACTATACTGTTCTATACCACTCCATACTGTACTATGCTAACTATATTGTACTATACCACACCATACTGTACTATACTAACTATACTGTACTATACCACACCATACTGTACTATATTATACTAACTATCCTGTGCTGTACATACTATGCTGTACTAACTATACTGTACTGTAGCATACTATACCAACTATACTGTACTGTACCATGCTATATTAACTATGCTATACTGTACTATACTATACTACACCAACTACATTATACTGCACTATACCATACTAACTATACTGACTGTACTGTAGTATACCATGACAACTATACTATACTATATCATACTGCACTGTTCTGTACTGCACTATACTAACTATTCTATTACTGTACTGTACTAACACCATACTACAGTGTACTATACTATACTAACTGTACTGTACTGTACCAACTATACTATATTGCATTACACTGTAGTATACTATATTTACTGTACCACACTATACTGTACTATACTATATTAACTGTATTGTACTGTACTAACTATATTGTATTATACTGTAGTATACTATACTAACTATACTGTACTGTGCTATACTATACTGTACTGTATTATACTAACTATACTGCACTGTACCAACTATACTATATTGTATTATACTATAGTATACTATACTAACTATACTGTACTGTGCTATACTATACTGTACTGTATTATACTAACTATACTGCACTGTACCAACTACACTATATTGTATTATACTGTAGCATACTATACTAATCATACCACACTATACTGTAATAACTGTACTATACTATACTAACTATACTGTACCATATATTGTATTCTACTGTACATACTGTACTATATGAACTAGACTGCACTAACTATACTCTACTGTACTATACTATACTAACTATACTGCACTATACTATACTAACTATACTGCACTGTACTGTAGTATACTAACTATACTGTACTGTGCTACACTATACTAACTATACTATACTATACTATACTATACTATACTATACTATACTATATTATACTGTACAACTATCCCTGCTGCATCGTCTAGTATGTACACTGTCACTGCTGAATGAAGGAAGGGCAGGAATGACATCCTGTGCCCCACACTGCTGCTTAGGGTGACCTCTCTCAGTGCCACTGGGTCATGTCACCTCGCCAGCTGAACATCCTGCAGTGGTTCCCCATTTCTTCCAGGATGAAGGCTGCACATTAGATAGGCCTTTCACAGACTGACCCCCATCCAGATCTCCAGTCTTATCTCTTTCTGCTTCCCAACTTTTTCCCTTCCCTTAGGTCAAATGGTTCCATTGAGGCAAGGCTTTCTTCTGCCTCAGGACCTTTGCACAGACTCCCCACTCTCCACTTCTACCCAGCGGACCTCTCACAAGACCTCTTCAGGAAGCCTTCTCTGAACTGACCCTCTGGGTTAGACCCCTTATGAGCCCCATAGAGAGCACCTGTGAGTTCCTTGGTATCACAACACTGGGCCTACCTTACTGGAAAGATCCATCTCTTTTTCTCCTCCACTATCAGCTGATATTTACGGAGCACTTACTAAATGCCAAGTGCTTGGTAAGGGCTTCACATAGAGTATCTCATTTCAAACTTATAACAACCCTGGGTGATACTATTATGATTTTCATTTTATTGAGGAGGGATTGGAAGTCCAGAGAGCTTAAGAATCTTTTCCAGATGGTGGAACCAGAGAGTTCTCATTGCAAAGCTAATGTTCATAACTACTACTTTATCATGTCTTTCACAGCAGGTGTTCAATAGACATTTAATGAACCATTATTAGCTAAGATTTGTTGAGCATTTGCTATTGTCAGATGCTCACTCAACCTTCCCCACCCTTATGAGATATGTCTATTACTACCCCCAGATCGATCTGTTGTTTTGATTTAATCTTTTAGGAGAAGAGAAAACAAATGGAGTCATAAACAAAGGTGAATTATTAAGTGTGAATAGACAACAAGCGTTCACTGAAATGCCAAAATGGCAAGAAGTGGGAGGAAAAACATTGTCCTTTTGATTTTAATGATTTCTCCCATGTTTTGGATGAAGGGGATCTGGCTTGGTAGGAGGAACACAGTACAGATCAGCATGAGAGGGGTTTATGAGGCTGATGGGAATTTCTTCCGTGGGTCTTGCCGAGATAACCCTGTTCTGTCTGTTCCTAGTTCTGCAGTGATGGCTTTGAAGGTACTCATTGGTTGACTAGTCAAGGCCTTGCTTGGCTGGTGGTGGCAGGGGCAGGGGGCCAAAGTCATTACTGCAATGTTAATACTGAGGCAGGTTCCCAAATCAACCTCCACCAGCGCTGGGTGGTGGATCTGTAGCACCACCGTGAACCCACTATATTTCTCTGTAAATGCCAGTTGTGTTTCAGGGTGCAGCTCTCCCTTGCTCACAACTTTTGTCATCTTGACTATGTCCCTGCAGCTGGTGGGGGATGAGGGGAGACATGGCCCAGGCTCTCTGCAGTCTGTGGGATTTGGAGAGGCTTGGTTGGCCTTGAGCCTGGACACTTTTAAAATGTGGCCAAAGGATGTATCCTCAATTGTTTATTGCAAGCACTCCAGAAGCTGGGGTGGGGGCCTGAGTTGCAGGGTTTCCGAAACAAGTTTATCGTATCCCCATGACACTAGCAGTCCAGCCATGGAGCCCACACCCCATGCCAGGCTGGTGCAGAGAAGCTCTGAGGCTCAGGAGCAGGGAGGTGCCTGGCAGTGAACCCAGGACTGTAGGCTTGGTTCCTGGGCCCAGAACACCCTCTACTGGCATTTCTGCAGTGGAGGTGGGTGGGGAGTGGGACAGGTGGAGAGAAGAGACCAAGCAGAAAGGGAATGGGTTGTTTCACTTTGGCCAGCTCTGACAGTTTTGTAGCTTGTGTGTCTGGGCACCTTCAGTGGGCACTAAGTTGAAAATCATCCTGTTGTTTGAATTATTGTCAAGCTGGGCCCAGAACTTGAGGAGTTTCCAGGCCTTGGATCTCAACTTAGTGGGCAGCAGAGTGAATAGAAGGGCATGGGAACATGTGTGCCTATGTGAATATGTGTGTGTGTGTGTGCATGTGTGAGTGTGCATAGCACACAATGTAAAAAGCACAGGCTTTGAGGAAATGTGTTGGAATCTCACCCCTGCACTTACTTGCAAGTTATTACACCTCCAGTTTCCTCAGATGCAAATGGAGATAATAACACTCCCTAATGGAGCTAGAACAAGGATTAAATGTGATAATGTAAGCAGAACACTTGGCACAGTGTTATGCTTAGTACATAGTAAGTGCTTAATAAATGGTAAAGACAGCTATATTCATTTTCGTTGAAGACCCAATGGGAACATTGCTGAAAGCCCCAGGATGCCACTTTCCTTATTGGCCAGGTCTTGGTCTTTGGATGGGACATCAGCACTGAAAGGCAGCCTCTCATTTTTGGGTCAGGGAATATCTGAGATCAGGAAACATCACCTGAGCCATAGGCACCATGATCACGTGTCCTGGACTTTCTGGAATGGGCTCATTGTATAAACTACCAACCTGTCGTCTTCATACCTCCCCTTGTGCCCATCAAACTATCCATTAGGGTTTCTGTTTGGGGAAAGCATGATCATCAGGGTTGGGGGAGAGCCAGAGATGGTCCTCAGGGGTCTCGGGGGAAGGCCATGGTGTCCTGGCCAGGGCATTGAGGCTGGAATAAGGCAAAGCCTCTGGGGCTGGCTCTCAGGTGGACTTAAACTTCTTAACCCTGAGTTCAGTCTAGTTCTAGGCTCCCAAATGGAGCAGACAGGGAAGAGCCCATGGCACCAACCATCAGCAGAGGGCTTGTCTCCATGAGTTCATGCTCCAGAGATGCTAGCCCAGAGCCCTTGCCCCACCACTTCTATTTCTAGAAACTTCTCCCCATCTCTTCCCCATCGCTGGGTCCAGGCCACCATCATCATCACTCCTCTGGGCAGGAGCATCCTGGCTAGACTGCTTTCTGACCCAGACAATAGCAGCCCAAGAGATGTTAAAATGTAAATGTGATCTGATCACTTTCGTGCTTATGACCTTTCAGTGGCTTCCCAGCTTGCTCAGAATGAAATCCTAACTCTGCTGCCCACAAAGTGGTGAGTGATCTGGCCCTATCCTGCTCTCGGCCTCAGCTCCCACCCCTCCTTCTGCTGATGCTGCTGAGACTACTGATGCCGTGAGTGTTATACAAGTTATTACGCCTCCACTATCACAGAATTGAACCGCTCAGTAGAATCTGAGCGGTTCAAGATGGCAGCCACCTGTGGCTATTGAGCACTTGAAATTTGGCTATGCAACTGAGGAGTTGAATTTTAATATAACTTAAGTAATTAAACTGGCCCCGTGTGGCTAGTGGCTACTGTACTGGCCAAGCTAATGCTAGACTCACTGGCCTTCTTTGGTTCTTTCTCTAAGACACCAAGATTGTTCCACCTCGTGACCTCCGCACTGGCCATTCGCTGCTTGGAACCTTTTCTTCTCTCTCTTTTCCTGGGTAACTTCTTCTCATGCTTTAATTCAACTATCTCTTCCTCCAAATAGCTGTCCCTGGACCCAGTTTAAATGCAATCTTTCCCCATTACACACAAAACATGCTGATCTTTCCCTTTATAATATCATCGTGATGAGCAGTTATGTATTTATCATTTGGGTTATTTAATATCTCTACCCCGACCTTGCCTCAATGAGAGCAAGACTCAAATAGTGCTCATCACCACAGCTACAGTGCCTAGCTCTGGGCCTGGCATATAGTAAGTGTCCAATAAATGTTTGTTCAAAGAATGAAGGAAACAGGAGAGAAATAAATGGGTAAGGGGAGCAAAGGCATGAAGGGCTTTAGATTTAGACACACCTGGGTCATCTGTTGCCTTCTAAGCATGTCACCTTTAACCTCTAAGCTTCAGTTTCTACCCCTATAAAAAGGCTATAGCACTAGGGCTTGTCTCATATTGGGAAGATTACCTGACACAATGTCTATAAAGATATTAGCACAGGGCCTGGTTCATAGGAAGCACTCAATAAATGCTAGCTGTCATCCTCATCCTTATCCTCATCATCATAATCATCAGCACATTGAATCTAACTGTGGCTAGTTATATATTCAGGTTACACCTACTTCAAAAGAACTTACTGGACACACCTTCTCTTTCCATTGTATTAGCTTCCTTTTGTCGTGTGGAAGGCAGGCTGGTAAGTGATTCCTATTTGTAGGTGAAGACACTGACCCCTGGAGAAAGGGTTGGTCAGGTCTAGGTCACTACTACTTAGAGAGTAAAGCAAATGCCTGCCTGTGGCTCAAGCCTTTGGCCACAGTAATGTCTCCCAGGCTTCACAGGCTCATTTCTTCCAGGGGCTTTGACTGGGTTAGGTGTGGTGGTAAAAGCTGGGATTTACATCCCCCAGGCTGCTGCAGATGGATCACAAGGGATTCTACCAGCACCAGGAAACAGTGTGTGAGCTTTGTTCACAGGTGGGTGAGATGCTACACCCCGGGGCCCCGAGTGATGAAACCTGGCAGAATGCAGAGCTGCTCGTGTGAGGGCAGCTGCGGTCTGCAGAGCAGGGTGCACCTGCTTAAGCCCGTAGCGTGTGGTCCACGAACTGGCCATTCCTGTGCTAAAGCACCAAAAACAAAACGAAAAACGAAATTCCAAAAACTTTTGTTAACTAGGATCCAAGTAACGTGAGTCCTCAGTTGATTGTTTGGGACTGTAAGGAGGAAAAAATCATAACCCATAAGAACAGTCCCTCTGTGTCTGCCCCTCCAGCTTGCAGCCCTCAGAGGCCTTGGAAATCACCATGCGCTCTGCTCCCTCTCTGCAGATGACTGAGCTGAAGCCCATGGGGGAATGGGGTTTGCCCAGGACCACATTTCCTCCTGGCCTCTGGGCCAGGGACTCAGTAACTAATAGTAATCATCATTGTCATCTTTGAAAAATGAAAGCACCAAAGATCCCTTTCCCGAGCCTTCTTCATCTGCCCAAGTGAAACAGGGAAGGTTAATCATCAGCATCAACAAGGCTATTTGAGATCCTCCATCGTCTTATAATTATAAACTCTACCTGCTTAGTGAGCTCAGAGTCTTCTTAAGCATTATGAACCACAAGGCTTCTAATAGTATTATTAATGTATGACAAATGGATACTGGTTTGGGAGCATCTACACTGGTGGCGCATGCTGGGCTCTTTGTGTGCATCATTTCTCAAACTTACCACGACCCACAAGGGTCACACTATTTTACAGATAGGGGAATGGAGTCTCAGACGATAAGCAATCCATAGACCCAAGCTATGGTCCTACAGACCCACACCCACGCTCTTTCTGTCACACTCTTTCCACCACGCTTTTCCCCACTGCTTTCTCCAGGTCTGGGATTGTTTTGGTTCATCAGCTTTTCAGTATGATCCTAAAAGAATGGTCAAGCCCATGTACCAATGACAACCTTGACAGAGCCTTGGGTGGCTTGCGCTTGGTTACTTACAGTCTTTGATGGTGGCCTTGCTTTCTTCAGCGTCATTAAAAAAGGAGTAACCTGGGAAAGAAAAAGAAATCCAGAAACCATACCATGCAATCCTGGTTTCCACTGGCCAGGCCAGGAGAGGGGGTGTTGGAGGGAAGTGGAGTGACTGTCCCTCTTGAGGTTGGTTACAATTTAGAGGGAACCTTGGAGACCATCTGGTCTTAGAGTGTCACCCTGAAGCCATCCCTGAGAGGTGATAATTTCCTCATTATTAAAGGTCATTTGGAGGGAGCACCCAGAACCAGGCTTCCCAGCAGCCTCTGCAGATTTTCTGAGCAGGCACTGGGGAGTAAGCTCTGGTCTGGGGTCCAGGGCTGGGCTCTGAGCTGGGCCGGGCTACTGATCCCTGTGCAGCCTTGCTCACTCAGTCTCTGGGCTTGTTGGTTTTTCTCATTGACATCACGAGATAAAATACCCACTAAGCTCCCCTGTGGCTAAGAGTCTATAGTCTCTGACATGGCCTCTAATCCCTTGGGGATTGGAATGCCTGTTATGTGCTGGTCAGTGGGGAGAATGGGCATAGGAGGTTGCAAGAAGTGCAAAGCTCTATGTGAATGCTGAGTTTAATGAGGATATGGAAGATGATGTCAGGACCTTGGTTCTCTCCTCTGTAGAATGGGGTGGGCTGGGGTTGAATGAGGAGTTTGAGATTGTGTTTTCACATAGCAGTTTAGGCTGAAGGATACCTATGTCCTAGCTTGGTCCAACACGAGGACTAATCTCTACTTGCTAAGCAGACTGGAGCAGGGCACAGTTGTGATTTTTTATTCTTGGCGTCATGTTCTCATTGGTTTTGGTCAGCCACGCGCCTCAGTTGACTCTGTCCAAAGGGCCGACTGAGAACAGGATGGGAGATTGAAGAGGGGCTCATTCCCCTCCTAGGCTGTGGAAGCCAACCTCTGACCTTGCTTCCCAGCAACCAGTGTCCCCAGGTTGCTAGGCCCTTAAATCCTACTGCAATACCTACCGAGCTGGATGGTGCTGAGGCCTTACAACCCCCTTCCAGCTCCTCTCCTCCATAAAACTGCCTTATTCTGTGTCCTGTTCTGCCAGAGTCAAAACCTATGGGGTAGTATAAGGCATACATGAGGTAATAACCCCCAGTCAACTGTAGAATTTATGATCTAAATGGAGACACTTTTGAGGATGAAAGGTAGTGCTATGGTAATAATAATTACTCTAGGATCACAGGCAGAAACGATGTCTCCTGGGCAAATGGGAGACAGTGTGAACTTTGATCACAATATATATATCTCCACAATCTACAATCCACATATCTGATTGAGAAACATTAAAAGAGGAATTTCAGAATGGAGTAGATTGGTGGAGTAGATAGTTTTACTGCTCAATATGGAACACTCCTGGCCTAGAGAGTGCTTGAAATCCCACCATTAAAGGTGGCATTGTGATTGCAGGAATTCCTTACAATAAGAAGAGGTAATGTATGACCTATTAAAAAGCAGTTGGCTTTTTTAGGTTTAGCCTATTAGTTTTGCACAGGGCCCTGGGGTAATAAAACCAGGGACAGGTTTGTTTTTTTTTTTTTTTTCAGGATTTTGCTCTTTTTGCCCAGGCTGGAGTGCAATGGTGCAATCTCGGCTCACTTGCAACCTCCACCTCCTGGGTTCAAGTGATTCTCATGCCTCAGCCTCCTGAGTAACTGGGATTATAGGCACGCACCACCATGCCTGTCTAATTTTGTATTTTTAGTAGAGACGGGGTTTCACCATGTTGGCCAGGCTTGTCTCGAATTCCTGACCTTAGATGATCTGCCTGCCTCAGCCTCCCAAAGTATTGGGATTACAGGCCTGAGCAACTGTGCCTGGCCAACAGGTTTTTTTTGTTTGTTTGTTTTTTGATGCAACCATTGCCAGGGAAGAGAGGTGCTTGTGGTGGGAGATGCCAGCACAGGGGCTGCACAAGAGCATGGAGACAAATGAGGTTGACTTGACATTTGGCCAAGCTGGCATTGCCAAACTGCATCTTTTTCCAGAATAAAATACACCCCTCTCTGTGGCCCTAGGATTTTTGTGCGAGCCTGTTCCCTTGGGAGGATCCTAAATGGAGTCCCAAGCTCCTTCTTCTGGAGCCGTTGTGACTTGGTCAAACTTGTCCTCTTTCAGGGAGTGCCCACTCTGAGCACAGGACACAGATCCCAGCTCTTGGCAGGTCATTGTCACTGGAGTTTTGGCTCCCAGGGCCCCAGCCATGTAGTGCCCAAGGGCCACCATTCTTAGCTTTTCTGCCTTCAAGCGCTCATGATGGATGAGGATCAAGAGGAGGCCAAAGAATCACAGAGCAGGAGGGTCCTCTGTGGTTTTTCTGTGCAAACAAGAGGCGCTGTCATATCCTCCTCTTCAAGCAGGGGGCTATTAGACTACTTGATTATCTCCAGTGGTGGGGATCGTCCTATCTCCTGTATCTTCTGAATTACCTTTTCAAAAGAAGGTACTAACCTTTAAAAAGATCCTTCTTAAAACTGAGCTGAGATAGGCTTCCTTTAACATCCTATAATATGCCTCTTGATTATATTAATGATGATGGAAAAACAGCTGCCATTTACTGCATTTCCATCTTCATATGCTGTTCTAGGTAATATTTCCCTGAATCCTCTCAAAAAGCCCATGGAGGTGTCATTATCCCATTGGACAGATGAGGCAGTGGGGATTCAGACAGCTTAAGCCACTCGCCAGAGGTTCCGTAGCTCGGAGTATTGGAGCCAGGGTTGGAACACAGGTCTTTCGGATCTCCAAGCCCTTGCTTTGTACTGACTTTCTGTGAATCAGCCCTGTTTGCTGTGTGACCTTGAGGAAGTCACTTAATGTCTCAGGATATCAGTTCCTTTATCTATGTGTGACTTTGAGACATTAGAGCTCGATGTTCTCAAAGAACCTTTCTGGATTGAAAAAATGTTCATCGACATTCTGCATGCAAAAGGCCTGTTGAAGAGTTAAATAATGCTATTGGCGCCACCTTCTGGCCACTTGATCCTTGACCATTAGGAATGTGATGAAATGATAATTAGTTGGACTCCTGTAGAAAAGGGAAGGTAGTCTATTTAATTTTATTCCTCTTCTGCTTAATGAGAGATGAAGCACAAACCTCTTTTTTGTCCATCCTGTGTGGTTTCAAATCATTATGAATATACTGTATTATTATCAGCCTGGTGCCTGGGCAGTCCCTGAACGTGGTGTCCGTTTTTCTTTCTCTTTTTTTAAATGCACTCAATTTGCATTTTTGTAACTCGCTCCCTTTTCCCTAAAATCCCCAATTCTGGCATACTAGCTTCCAGTTATTGAAGGTTTGGATTAACGAGAACTCCAGTTAGTAAAATTTTGCTGTGCAATTCACACGATGGGAAAGGACTTCTCAAAGTTGTTTGGTCCTAATCCTGGTCCCTCCCCTGGAGGTCTGGCCCTCTGAACACTGACCTTGTGTGCGGATGTTCTGGAGGATGAAGTACAGGTACTCGCCGCAGAGGCCAGCTGCCTCGACGAACTCCTCCTGTGTCATGCTGCACAGCTGCAGGCCACTGATGTTGAAGTTGCAGAAGGAGATGCAATTGGTGTCCAACTTGTACTGGTCGCAGCAGAACTGGAGCCACTCCCACACATGGCGCTTAGTCCAGTATTCAGGGTGGACTGATGTCCAGTATGAGTCACAGGCTGCACCAAAGGAGAAAGAAGTGAGGGACAACAGTCCCAAGACAGCCTTCGAGAGGGCCCCTGAAGGATGCATCAGTTAAGTAACATCCTCATTCCTCAGCCAATAAGTTGAAAGGGCCTCCAGCCCTGGGTGTTCTGCAGAGCCCAGGTCACCTTCTATTCTGCAGAGAAAACCAGAGGGACTGGATCCTACAGATGAACTTTGGCATCATAGAGGGAATGACAGGGGCAAGAAAGAACCAGTCTTGGTGCTGATGCTCAAAAAAAAAGGCATTTAGTGGAGAAAGAAAGAAAACAGCCCTTCAGTTATTTGATTCCAGATAACATGATATCAAAAGCACAAACTCAGCTGTTTGACAAGCTGGGTTGAAATTCTGATTCTACCACTTTCCGCTTGGCAAGGTCTGTGGACATTGAAGTCTCAGTTTCCTCATCTGTAAAATGGGGATAATATGCTCAATGCCCAGGACTATTATGGAGTTTGGGGTTAATGTATGTAGAATGGCACACAGAAACTTACCAACCAATTCAATAGTTACTAAATGCCTACCGTGTGTCAGAAACCATTTGAAGCTGGTTTTGATTCCCTATGCTTTAAAGGGCAGCTGCCCAATGCTGGCTATTTGTTTCTGCACAGTTACTGGCAATCTTGTGCCAAGAACCTTGGGTTATTAGACATTGCCCAGAGTCTGACAGTCCTTGCGTCACCATAGTAGGCACCTCCAGAGGAAGGTGGTCATGGGAGAGTTGGTTGTATTGTTGTTCTTGTGTTTTTGGTGGTGTTCAGAGTAATTTCTATCCTGAGATCAGAGCCCCCACTCCTTTAGAGGAGTCGTGTACATGCCTAGACAGTTGTGAGTGCCATCTGTCTGGGAGGCTGGCATGTGGCTTTGCCTGGCCCAGGGGTAGAGATTTGGTGTTCAACAGTTCTGTCCTTCTGTTCTTAGGAGAAATGGAAAGTGGGGTGGACATAAGGTATGGAAGAGGTGCTGTATTAGGTACTTGGTCAGGCTCTTTGACATAAACAATTATTGTATCTGCCATGGAAAACATTCATTCATTTATTCATTTCATTCAATAAATAAAAGCTTTAGTTTCCTTACTGGTAAAATTGGAATAATTACAGCACCTGTATCATAGTGCTGTTCTGCAGATTAAATGACTTAATATACATAAAAGTACCTGGAACAGAGCCTGGAGGATTTAAATGCTATTACAAACATTATTATTGAATATCTACTATGTGTGCAGCCACACGTTGTATGTTAAGGATTCATGGTGGACAGGTTTGGTCCCCCGTCCCCCAGGAGATCACAGAAGAGGAACTTGAAAGTCATGAAGGACTTTCCCAAGAACCCACGCCAGCGTGTGGCAGAGCTGGATTTGAACCCTAGCCTGAACTTGAAAGCCATTGCTCTCCCCACACCACCATACCGGGTCAGCACAGAGCAGAGATGGAACGTGAAGAGTGGCTGAGGCACGGGGAAAGCTGGAGAGAACACAACACGAGGGCCTGAAAAGAAAGGCAGAGAGCAGAGAGTGGCTAAGGTGACGATGACAGAAAGGGTCCCTCACATGTTATACCCCACAGCAAATAGCAGTGGTGCGATTTGCAGCGTTTAAAGGTGAGTAGAACTCGCACCATTGTCAGTTGCTGATGATTCCAGGCAGGAGGTGGGTCCTCTGCCTGTCAGGTGCTACTACTCACTCAGCACCCTCAGCCAGCCGAGGCGCTACGCGTTCTTGTCGTCTCAAGTTTCTCAGGTCCCCTCAACAATCCTATCCAGTAGGTGTAATTGGGCTATTCCACAAAAAAGGAAATAGAGGCTCCCCTTAAAACTCAAAGGTCTTCCAGAGATCTCTTTTACCACCGAAGGGTGGGTGGAGGGGCAGTTGATTTATTTTATTTAAAAATTTTCAGAATTTTATATGCATTAAGATCAAAGCGTCAATATTGTGCCAGGGTGCTTGAGGCTGATGTCGTAGCCTCTACCTGGCAGATAGGAAGAGCCAGGGAGCCGGTGAGACCGATGACTCAGGTCTTGCTCACTGGCCACTGGCTGGAGCTGGCTTACCAGGCCCGTGGGGGCTCTTCAGGGCAGGCAGGGGTTCCTGGCAGAACAAGGGGCCATTCCTGAGTTCGGCCTGAGCTTTCATCTACTGATTTCTGGCTTTAGTAAACCTGAGGGGCCTTTTGGACTTTACTGGCGTCCTGTGAGAGATGTTTATGAGCCTTGACATTTTTCAGCTGCGGGCCCTGCCCTAGATGGCCATCGGTGTGCGGCCGTCGGAGGGCACAGTTGATTTCATGGAAAGGTTTCGCCAAGGCTCTGTTCCCGTTTCCCTCCCCTCCCCTCTCTGCTTCCACCCCCTTGTTATTTTCTTTGGCACTTGAAGAGGGCCATATTGTTTGCGGAAGCCAAGGGGGCCTCAAGGATTCGGAGAAACGCCCAGGCGGGGAGTCGGCCCCACACCGGGGAGGTGTTGCTGGCGCTGGCTCCCTGCTCCTCGGCGCTCTGCTTTGAAGCTCACCCACAGAGCGGCTTTGTGTGCGGCCTCGGCCCCTGGAGGGGAGCCAGAGCCCTGCGGAGGCTCCCTCTCCTCATCCGCAAGCTCCTTCCAAAGCCCCAGAACTGGGAGGAAAATGGCTGCTCTGGGTGCCATGGCAGGCCTCTTTTCCGGGGGTCCCATCCTCAGGACGGGAGGAGAGTGGCAGAGCGGAGGCTGCCCAGACGAGGGACGCCGCTGTCAGCCCCTCCTCACCAGCCCCTCTCCTGCTCTTCTCTTTCAGGAGGCTCCACGGCCCAGAGTCTTCCCACAGCGACTTCTCTTTGGATGGAACGTGGTCCCCATCTGCCTTCTCCTGAGGAATCTCTGCTCATCCTCACTCCCCCTCGCAGAGGTCTCTTCCTCCTCACTGAGTGCCCATCAGGCGTCCTCCTCATCCCTCCCCTCCAGACCTAGAGCTTTTGCTCGCCCTGAACCAGGAGTGCTTGGAGCCTGGCCTAGCCCACCACAGGCCTACCTCAGTGAGTGTGACTGACTGACCAGGTGACTGACAGTCACTCTCTCCACTTTACACGTGAGGAGATTGCCGTTCCGGGGACTGACGGGACCCCTGTAAGGTCACGCGGCCTGTCAGTAAAGGAGCTACTGAAGAGGGAAAAGTGGCATTTTCCCTCTTACCACGCCCCACTCTTCTTGGTTGAGGAGGACCAAGTTGGGCACACATCTCAAGACTGACTAAAGCAAGATTTGGATGAAGGTAGATATGTGTAATTGTAATTATAAATAATGGATAAGCAGAGCCTGACTAGAAAAAATAAAAAATACAATCTAGCTTTGAAGAATCAGAAAGAGGATGGAGAGACTGAAGATGATAGTGTTTAGAACCTTAATGAAGACATGAAGAAGACCCTTTTGCTACTTGGAAGACATGAACTCAGGGCAATCAAATAAGGGGTTATATACCCGCAGAATATATTATTTTTAATGGGTTGTGTTGTCTGGAAATGTAAAGTGTTTTTCTCAACGCTTCTATCATTTATAAAATAATCTCAACATTTTGGGAAAGTTGAGCCATGAGGCCCTTCTGCCTATGTCGACCAGTAGACCATCATGGGCCTGGTAGGCTTGATCTGAATGCCCATAGGTCACTATTATTAAGCAGCAGGCTCTGCCAGCTCCTTTGAAGTCTGAAGTGGGTCAGGACACTTGTTTCAGGGCCAGCTGCATTGGAAGGAAGAATTGAACTAGAGGGAGTTTTCAGAAATTCTAGGGGAATTTTCACAAGTGATGCTATAATCTGAGATGCATTTAAATTCAGAAGGAGGACTTTAGCTTTCAGAGCTGGGTGGGTGCACCAGATGCCCGCAGGGTCAGCAGATAATGTCTATGCCTGAAGTGGCCCCATGTGGAGACAGTGGGGATTGGAAAGTTCATGCCAAAGTGCACAATGGCTACCCGACCCCTTGCCTTGTGGAAAGGTGGGCCTTGTGTTGCCAGGACCAGATTGCTAACTGAAATCTCCTGATTTCTATTTTCAAGTGTGGCAACTGGCTTGGTTTTTACAAAACACCACGGGAAGCCCAGTCAAAATGTCTTCATGGGCTGGATCACTCCTGGCCATCACTTTGTGATGAACAATCTGACAGGCTTTTGGCCACTTGTCTCCTTCAAGATTATTGTTTGGAGTGGGCATGCTAAGACTTTGAAGGATTCTTTTATGGTTGAATAATATTTTCTTCAAGTTAAAACTTATCTGGAAAAAAGCAACCCTGTTTTACTGGGAGTGGAGGTGAAGGTATTAGCTCCAGGAAGCTCCTTGAAAATCACTGTTCTCAAACTTGAAACCAGGATTCCTATATTTTGAATTCCCCTTCAAAGTTGAAAGGGCACATGGTCTCTCACACTTAGTGGTCCTGCCTCCTTGGACTCGTCTGCAAAATAAAAATAATAGGACCTACTTATCTGGGCTATTAAAAGGATTATGTAAATTAATACATGGAAAGTACTTAGAACAGGGCCAGGCATATGGCAAGTGCTCATTAAATATCATCCACTTATACTTGTCAATATTAGGGTTACCTCCTGGGCTTCCCGTGTCACCACTTTAATTACATTCCTTCAAACACTTCTAATTTTTTTTTTTAATGTGTAAGCCAGCTGCTTTGTCCCTTTCTAGACCTTCGGTTTATTTTCTTCATAAAAAAATAGGAGTTATATTAGAAACCAAGCTTAGAAACCAAACCTAGCTAATTTGTCTTTGCATTGCCAGCCTGAGTTAGGTCCCTTAATGCTGCCATCTTTGGTTTAAAAGCTGGGGACACAGGCGAGTCTGTGTGACTTTGTAAAATTCTTAATCATCAGGACACACACAAGACTCAAGCTTCTGAAACTGAGCAGAGGAGAGGGTGATGGTGGTGGTGCTGTATCCCCAGGGTGCACAGAGCAGGTAATTGAAAGTCACATAATATTCATTATGCATCTTCAAGAGAAAGATCAGAGGGTGAGTCCATTAATCCCCCACTTCCTTCTTTGTTATAGATAACTGATGTCTTCTCAATCTTATGCAGTGTTCTTAAAAAATCATTTCCAGGTCGGGTGCAGTGGCTCACACCTGTAATCCCAGAACTTTGGGAGGCTGAGGCAGGTGTATCACCTGAGGTCAGGAGTTCAAGACCAGCCTGGCCAACAAGGTGAAACCCTGTCTCTACTAATAATACAAAAATTAGCGGGCGTGGTGGTGCACGCCTGTAATCCCAGCTACTTGAGAGGCTGAGGCAGGAGAATTGCTTGAACCCGGGAGGTGGAGGTTGCAGTGAGCCGAGGTGGCGCCATTGCACTCCAGCCTGGGTGATAGGACGGAAACTCCATTTCCAAAAAAAAAAAATCATTTCCAGACATGTCCTTTGGCCATCTCTTCCAAATGGATTGTTGTCCCTAAGCCCTTCCTATATAAAGATCCTGGAACCCACACTGTTCATTTTCTTGGAGCCTCACTCAAAGCAAAAATTTTGAGGGAAAATTTTGATTTTTGGTTTTTTTGAGACAGGGTCTCACTCTGTCATCCGGGCTGGAGTGCAGTTGCTCGAACATGGCTCACCGCAGGCTCACCCTCCTGGGCTCAAGCAATCCTCCTGCCTCAGCCTCTTGAGTAGCTGGGACCGCAGTTGTGCAACACCATGCATGGCTAATTTTTTAATTTTGTAGGAACAGGGTCTCACCATTTTGCTCAGGCTGGTTGGTCTTGAACTCCTGGGCTCAGGCAATCCTCCTGCTTCAGCCTCCCAAATTGTTGGGATTTCAGGCATGAGCCACTGTGCCTGGCCTGATTTTTATATTACAACAAAATAGATATGCAGCAGAATGCAAAATTTGCAGGTTCTAAAAGAAGTTTGAGCTTAGAGCTTTCAGTTATGTCCCTCTGGAGCAGAACTTGATCTTTTTCCTCTGCTGATTGGGGAGCAGTGGTAAGAAAGTTTGTGAAGCTAGATGAACCTGCCAGCTACAGGAATTCTGTACAAGAATCCAATTCTTGTTCCCAGCCAATGAGCCTGTTGGAGTGGAAGGGACCTTCCAATGGAAGTCACAGGGTTGGGTGTGGCAACTGAGCCTGGGCTGTGGAGATGGACCTTCCTGATTTGAAATCTTGGCTCTTCAATGGATTAGCTGTGCAACTCTAACAAACTGTCCTAACCTCTCTGGACCTCAGTTTCCTTCACTGGTAAAATAAAAATAACAATAGTACCTATATCTTAGGAGGTTTGTTGTGAAGAGGAAATGATGCAGGTAAAGAACTTAGCCTAGTATCTGAATGACAGTAAGTTTTCAGTATAAGTCACCTGTTATTGGTTATTATTTTGGGAATACATTTGTTCTCAGGGAAACGGGGCCTTCCTCAATCTAGCTGAGGAAAAACTACAGTAAAGCAAGCTCAGGGCTTGGCTGGGACAAGACAGACAGTCTGGGTCAGAGGAGGCCCGAGTTAGACAAACTTGGACCATAATTAGCATGATTTACTAGCATAGGGAGTTGGGAAAGTGTTTTGCCCGGGGCAGCACTGAAGAGAGGTGGTGAATGAACTGGATAGCAGGGGCACCATCAATTGCAGCTTTGTCACTGAAAGGAAGGACTTTATGAGGGAAAACCTGAAATGATAAATGGCTTTCAAGTTTCCTCCCAGAGCCAGTCCAGCTCCATCCCATACCCCTTCCTGGCTTTCCAGCATAGCCTATGGAAAGAGACCATGAGATGGAAAAGTTAAGTCCAGTGCAGCATAGGAAACTGTATAGAGAAAACAGGAGAAGGGCTGGCTGCAAAGTAGCCATGGCCTTGGGAGCGTGGAGTTAGGAAGGGGCCAAGAGAGCCAAGCCCTGAGCAGTCCTGGGGCCATGGCCACCCAGAAGGCTCAGGTGCATGTCCACTGGGCTAGAGGTGGCCAACAGTGAGTCCTCCTGAGGTGTGGGCGCTGCCACAGGGCTCACCTCAGACTTTCAGATGATTTTGTATTTGTTGATCTGGTTTTGACTTAGAAGTTCTTAGATTCTTTCCTTTGTATCTGCTCTCAAGCTTCTGTACATAAAACATGAATCTTGCTTAGGAAAGCCCATGTGGGGATGCAGATGCCTCTTTCTCTGACCAGTGGGTTTTGCACTTTTTTTTTTCTTACAAAAAGTGCTTTCTTCAAATAAAATCTCACATTGTGCAATAATATTATAGCTAACATATTTATTGAGCACTTAGTATGTGCCCGTTATCATGCTAAATTATTTGTGCTTTCTCATGTTGTCCCTAACACAATGCTATGAAGTCCTCTGTCATGTTACCCATTTTACAAAGGGAGAAAGTAAGGCTCACGGGTGTGACCCTTTTCAAGCTCACGTAACCCGTAAGTGGCAGAGCTAGGAGTGGGTTATCTGGGTGTATTCTGGCTCCTGCAGCCCAGCCTCACTGTGCTCTACCGTCTTCAGAATTAAAGTGGAGAAGCATGCTTAGGGATGGAGGTGGACAGAGAAGGACTGAAGCCCCATCTTCTCAACTGTCACTTCCACTCCCTTCTCTGGTGGTCCCTAAGGAACCTCTGGGAAACCCCTAAAGCCTCTCAGGAACCTCAGTTTAGAAACCTCTGCAGCTGACAAAGTATAAGCAAGATTCCAAAGCAAAGGAGGCGCTGCATGTGTGCGTGGCACATTGGCTGTCAGGGGAGGGGTGTTGGTCTGTGGAGGTTAAGGAAAGAATTCCAGAAAGAAAGTAGTGGCAAGGCCAGGGTACTCAATGACTACTGGAGGGTTGGCTACTGGAACTCGACTGGAGAAACCATCTTTTAAAAATATCATATGCATGTGAACTACATGCAGCCTCCCCCCCAACCAACTCTCCCGCCCACTTGGATACATTTTCCAGTAGTCATCGTTCTTTACTTTGAAAAAGCCACAGGCAAGGCAGGGTAAGTTCATGAAATTCTAGAGTATTTTGCAATCTGGACTGTCCAACCTCCTGCCTGCAGTGCAGCCAAGCAGAAGTCCTGCTTCAAAGAGCAGGTCAGAATCCTTTGTGGTTACCACACCAGGGCACAGATTCAGCGGCACTCTGCTCAAGCCATTTGAAGGGTTTTTGAGAACAGCTGGTTTTCCTAAATAGGCTGAGTATTCCACCCTTCCCTCTCCTAGACATCATTTGTCTAGAAGGCACATCATTTTTTTTTCTCCTTTTCCTTCCCTTCCCTCAGGTCTCAAATATCTAAGCTGTTAAAAATTCTGAACTGAGAAGCTTGAGATGGAGTTTTGTTGTTATTTTTGTTCAATATGGACAATGAAGAGAGGAGAGGGAAGGCTGTTTTTCCACCCAACAGGGAGTGGTGAGGAGTTCTTGGCTAGGGTGAGCACTTCCCAAGTGCCAGGCACGTGACTAAACACTTCGTACACAAAATATCATTCAATCTCCCCAACTCCAGGAGGCAGAGGAAAGCATATCTCAAAAAACTGGCTGCAGGTCACATGGCTGGTAAGTGGCAGTGCCTGCCCATGAACCTGGGTGAACAGGAAGCTGCCACTGCAACAATCTTTAGGAGGGCCCAGAATTCCAGATAGTATTTCCTGGGAGGTGGGTAAGGACCTCAGGAGAGGTATCTCAGAGCCTGCTGGCCATGGAGCAGGGAAAGTTGGCTGAGCAGTGCCCAGAGGCAAAGCTGGCTGTCTCCTGACCCACCCCTGCCAGAGGGGGCTTTTGTAGAAACTCCAAATGGCTGCACCTCTCTGGGTGGCAACGTCCTTGTTGATAAAAGACAGAAGGCCCCTCCTGCTAATCCTCCCACCTGTGGAGGAGAGCAGGGGCTACAAGGCTCACCCGGTGCCCAGGCAGCTCCAAGAGAGGTGTTTACTCCAGGTGAACATTTCACACCCAACTTCGACCTTTTGGAGGTCAGTGATACTGAGCTTCCCCTGAAATCCCGAGGGCCGGTGGCTACTTGAAAGCCTGGCTCCATCCCTCAGGGAGCCTTAGGAACCTGGGCCAGTCTCGAAGGCTATTTTATTTTCACTGGCCGCATGACTTGATGGGAATTTCTGTTTTCTCAGTGGGTGGTGGGAGGAGAAGGCTGTGTCTTCGATATTGCCTGATGCAGGAATCACAGAAGCTTCTGGAAGGGATCCTAGCAATGGCCTGGTCTAACCTTTCATGACGTTGATGGAAATGCGGAAGCCTCTGGCCAGAGAGCTGTGTCTGAATGTCTAAGACTTGGTTGGATTTAAGGAACTCTGGCAATGCCACTGGTGATCACTTCTGTTAACCTCATTCTTTAAAATTGTGGTAAAACATACATAATATAACACTTAATCATTTTAACTTTTCTTAAGGGTACAGTTCAGTGGCATTAAGTACATTCACATTGTTGCACAGTCATCAGTGCTATTCACTTCCAGAATTTGTTCATTATCCCAAACTGAAACTAATCCTTTTTTTTTGACCCAGAGTCTCCCCCTGTTGCTCAGGCTGGAGTGCAGTGGCATACTCACAGCTCACTGCAGCTTCAACCTTCTGAGCTCAAGGGATCCTCCTGTCTCAGCCTCCCGAGTAGCTGGGACTACAGGTGCGTGCCACCATGCCCAGCTAATTTTTGTATTTTTTCGTAGAGACGGGGTTTCTCCATGTTGCCCAGGCTGGTCTTAAACTCCTGACCTCAGGTGATCTGCCTGCCTTGGCCTCCCAAAGTGCTGGGATTACAGGCAGGAGCCACCATGCCTGCTCCCCAACCTTTTTTTTTTATCTCACTGTCGCTCAGGCTGGAGTGCAGTGGCGTGACTGCAGCTCACTGCAGCCTCGGCCTTCCGGGCTCAAGGGATCCTCCTGCCTCAGCCTCCCAAGTAGCTAGGACTACAGGCATGTGCCACCATACCAGGCCAATTTTTAAACAATTTTTTGTAGATACAAGGTCTCACTATGTTGCCCAGGCTGGTCTCCAATTCCTAGGCTCAAGTGATAATCCTGCCTCGGCCTTCCAAAGTGCTAGGATTACAGGTGTAAGCCATCACGTCCAGCTAATCCTTCAATTTTTTAAACAGTTATGTGTGCTTACCAGGTACCGGACTGTGTCCTAAACACTTCCCATATGATAACTCATTTCATTAGCATAACAACTCTACAAGGTAGCATTGTGGTCATTCCCATTTTACAGATGAGAAACTAACTGGGACATGAGAGGTTAAGATGACACAGCTAGTGTCAGAGCCAGACTTCCCATTTGGGACACACCAGGTCTTCATGACACAGAGCCGCTGCTTCACTGCCCAGGCCATTGCCTGGGGCAGCTGGTTGTAGCCCGCCCCTCCCACTGCCACCCCAACTACTTCCCAGCAGAATAGGCAGAAAGAGGGGGCTCTCATGATGGCAGGTCTGGGTTAAGTGAGGCCTGGCCTTATGCATAGGTAGAGAGAGAGCCTGGAGCTGGGCCCCACCACTGTGGGAAACATAGGGAGGGCACGGCGACTTGAAAGTTTTCATTTTCCTCCTTCAGATTTAACCTGTTAACCAAAGTTCAAGGGAAGGAGACACAGTACATTTCTCATGTCTTTCTGGGAAACAAGGTGCTTCTTAGGCCTAAAGGAGAATTGTAAGATGTATCTGTTTGATTCAAGTCCAAATGCAATGATCTAGACCTTACAGATGAGGGTGAGAGATTTCACATGTGCGTGTGTGTGTGTGCACGCGTGTGTGTATGTGTGTCCATGTGGGGTGGGGGCAGGTGTGGGATTGCATTATGTAGGTAAGTGCCTCAAGTCTGTGAGTGTGGCCTGGTCCCTGGCCCCAGAGGCAGGGGCTTCTGGTAGTGGACTTTTTGCAGTCCCTGGAGGCATGGCCTCTCTTGCACACTGCCTGCCTCCGGACACTGAGTCTGGACTCCTACATGGGGTTAACACTCAGTGAGGACTGACAGCTTGATTGGCACTTGCATGACCGCTGAGCAGCGTGTGCTCCTGTTGTGCCAGCAGTCAGCCAGGTGTGCTGTGATATGTGGTCACCCAAGCACCTCAGTGACAGAGGCCCTCAGAGGGTTTCTGGGGGCAAAGCTCGGCTGGCCTCCCTCCGGCATGGGATTTTCTCAAGGTCCCATGCTGCCTTCTCAGGTGGAGAAATCCAGGCTGAGAAAGAGGAGGGAGGGTGGGGAAGGAGGCCTGGGGAACAGTGAGGGGCTCATATTTACTGAACACTTGTTTTGTGCCAGGCTACATATTTACACCCTTTGGCTCCCTTAGTCCTTATAGTAGCTCTCATCACCCCTGGTTTAGGGAAAAAGAAATAGAAGCTCAGAGAATAATGATATATTAATATCAATAACCACAGTGTGATATCAATTATAAGATGGGTCAACTTGCATGGAGCTTAACTGTGAGGCCCAGGGCAAGTCACTTAGCCTCTCTGTATCTCAGTTTCTTCATGTATAAAATGGGGATAATAATTGTTCATCTCATAGGGCTTTGGCAAGGATGAGATGGTGCTTGGCACAAGGTTTGGTACACAGCTCGTGTTCAGTAAATGTTGGCTAAAACCACCATGACCAAGCAAACACAGCATACCAGGTCCTGGGCTAAGGGCTTTCTTTCTACTACATTGTTTAAATATCATAATAACTCCAAGAGACGTACATTTTACTTGGCAGCAAAACGAGGCTCAGAGAGGTTAGCTGAGCCGTGCACGGCCTCGAGGCCACAGAACTAGGGAGTTTGGGGGTGAGGGTTCCAGCACCTTTTATCTGCAAGAGGTTGCCCTTCCTTCCATCCAGGAGCCCTCCAGCCCTCTGCCCTGAACTCTGGTGTTCCTAGGCCCCAGCACAGCTTTGTCTTCCACCTGCGGCCAGCACCACCTCCTGCCCTAGCCCATCCTGGCTGCACTCAGATGGGCTCCTTCAAATGTACGCACCTGTCTGATGCTCAAAGGCAGGGTAGTACTCTTCATTGCTGAACAGATCAGTCCACGACATCAGGGGATCGCAGAAGGATGCATTAGGCAGGAAGGTGCTGTGTGTCACCGAGTCCAACATTACCCTGCAACAGCAGGAGAGGTCGTGAGGAGGCTGGGGTGAGGTACTCCTGAAGCCACACTGTGCAGGAGCCCCTAGCAGGGCGATACTTGTTTTTTAAAAATGATAACAAATATGTCACTCACTAGGAGCAGGCACCGCCTAGTGTCACCTACGAGTGACATTATTCCACCCTTGCCATATCCTGTCTATCCCCATTTTAGATGAGAAAACTGAGGCAAAAGGGTTGAGACAATTGCCAAAGTGATATAACTAGAAAGTGGCAAAGAGGGGACTGGAGCATGGAGGCTCTGATTATGCAATATTGCCTCTTTATTTATGTTTCCTGTTTGCTCACATCTGACCCCTGAACTCTGACTTATGATGTTCAATAATATGCTTCTAGAAACAGCGTGAGATGCAGCCATAAGAAAGAACAAGATCATGCCCTGTGCAGTAACACAGATGCAGCTGGAGGCTATTATCCCGAGCAAATTAAGTCAGGAACAGAAAACCGTATACCTCATCTTCTCACTTAGAAGGGGGCACTAAATGTTGAGTACTCCTGGACATAAAGGTGGGGACAATAGACACTGGGGACTACCAGAGGGAGGAGGCAGGGAAGGGGGCCAAGGTTGAAAAACTAACTACTGGATACTATACTCAGTACCTGTGTGATGAGATCAATAGCACCTGAAACCTCAGCATGGTGCAATACACACAGGTAACAAACCTGCACACATACCCCCTGAATCTAAACTAAAAGTTGAAATAATAAAAATAAAATAAAATTGTTTTTTTTAAAAGATGTAATCCTGCTCTGTCGCCAGGCTGGAGTGTAGTGGTGTGATCTAGGCTCACTGCAACCTCTGCCTCCTGGGTTCAAGCGATCCTCCCACCTCCACCTCCCGAGTAGCTGGGTCTACAAGTGTGTACCATCAAACCTGGCTAATTTTTGTATTTTTAGTAAAGATGGAGTTTCACCATGTTGGCCAGGCTGGTCTCGAACTCCTGACCTCAAGTGATCTCCCCTTCTTGGCCTCCCAAAGTCCTGGGATTACAGGTGTGAGCCACAGAAACTGGCCGAAAAAAATAAATAAATAAAAATGAGGTAAGAATTACTGTGTGTGATTAATCCATAATTCTGAAATCTGAAAGCTCTGAAAACTGAAAGGAAGTGTGTGTGTACGTGTGTGTGTGTTTGCTGCAATCTTATTTTCTAGCACAAAACAGTCCTGAATTGATGTTATATAGTTTTATATACTGTTTCATACATACATACACATACATACAACATATATATGTTATACAGTTTTATAACTATGGTTGCAGTTTTATTTATTGCACTGAGTGAATATTCTTATGATGCAGTGCAGAAATATTAATGTTTAGAGCAAACCCTAAACCCTGAGGGGTAATCTGTACTCCACTGTATATATACTATCTCGCCTTCCTAAATCTGTGAAGAATTCAGAATTCTGCAGCATGTGCGGCCCAAGGTTTTGGAGACGAGTGTGGACCTGTGGTAATTGCAACAAGCACTTCACTTTGGGCTTCATGCTGAGTACTTTAGCACTTTAGCTATATTCTTCCTGGTCTGCTCAGAACAACCACTCTGAGATAGGTACTGGCAGCAGTTCCATTTCATAGGTGAGGGATGGAGGCTCTGAGATTCCGGGTAATACATGCAAAGCCAGCGAAGCTGGGTGGTGGCTCAGGTGTGTCTGTTTAAAAAGCCCATTCTAATTGCTGTGCTCCAGTCCCCACACACTTTGGTGGCGGCAAGGAGCTCTGGGGCAGGGTGTGTGGTTGAGGCTGGAAGGAAGGCAGAAAAGAACAGGCCTAGGGCCCCCGCTTGCACACATTCTTGCCTGTGCTGGTCTCAACTTTGCTGCTTCCCATGTTCCCACATGCCACTCTCTACTGAATCCCATCTCCCCGCAATTCAGAAAAAATAATAATCTGTGTTTGGTGGATTAAAACAATCTGTTCACCCGAATTCTTTTTTCTGATTCTTGAAATAATGTTGACATAGAGTAGTTCTTTCCTCGTTTTGCAAAGGGAACATAGCTGCTCAAGATCACACCACTGGTAAGTGTCTTGGGATATTAAACACATGGAATTTTAAGATTGGCAGGAGTGAATTCTTCATCTAGTCCAGTGTTTCCTAAACTTCAGTCATTTGCCTACGACTGTGATAATTTCACTCAATCCATATACTACGAGCACTATTATTTACTTAAAATACTTAAAAAAATCATCAACTCCCTTTTTGTTTTAACATAAATATGCTAATTAAAAGGAAAACTTTATATTAGCAATATAAATGGAAAGTCAGGATTTTTTAAACATACATAAAAATAAATATTTAAGCATTTGAATAAAAATGGTTCATGCGCCACCTAAATCAGGGGTTAGCAAACTACATCCTATAGGCAAAATGCAGTCCCTCACCTATTTTTGTAAAGCCTGCAGTTAAAAATAATTTTACTGCTGGGCGCAGTGGTTTACACCTGTAATCCCAGCACTTTGGGAGGCCGAGGCGGGTGGGTCACTTGAGGTCAGGAGTTCAAGACCAGCCTGGTCAACATGGTGAAACCCCCGTCTCTACTAAAAATACAAACATTAGCTGGGTGTGTTGGTGCATGCCTGCAATCCCAGCTACTCGGGAGAGTGAGACAGGAGAATCGCTTGAACCTGGGAGGCAGAGGTTGCAGTGAACCGAGATTGTGCCACTGCACTCCAGCCTGGGCGACAGAGCAAGACTATGTCTCACAAAAAAATAAAAAATAAAAAATAAAAAATAAAAAAAACTTTACATTTTTAAGTGGTTACATTTTAAGTGGTTATATAAATATTTACATCATATCCTTGATTTTGCCTTTTGGCCTGCTAATCCTAAAATACCTGGCCCTTTAAGAAAAAGTTTGCAACCCCTAACCAGATTCATCTGGCATGTTGCCAGTTGATGTGAGTACCACGTGTTGGAAGATACTGAGTTAGTCCAATTTCCCTCCTCGCCTCCACCATTTTACAGTTGAGGAAGTTGAGACTCAGGGAATTTGTGTAACTAGCTCAAGGTCACATAGCCAGTGGATGCCAGAGTTAAGTGGCAGGGAGGTCCTTAGTTTTCTGACTCTCAGCCCATCTGCTTCTCTTTCTGAAAACACAATTGAGCCCCAAGGCACACTTATATAGCAAATCAAACCTCAGTACTAAGAGGGGCAGGATTGTGTGATTCTGAAACCAAAGGTCAATTCTTTGCAGATGCTTGAAAATCTCCAACCACCATCATCATCACCATCAAATGTGCATGAGACGCCGGGTGCGGTGGTTCATGCCTGTAATCCCAGCACTTTGGAAGGCCAAGGTGGGCAGATCGCTTGAGGTCAGGAGTTCGAGACCAGCCTGGACAACATGGCGAAACCCCGTCTCCACTAAAAACACAACAATTAGCTGGGCATGGTGGTGCACACCTGTAATCCCAGCTACTCAGGAGGTTGAGGCATGAGAATCACGAACCCAGGAGGCAGAGGTTGCAGTGAGCTGAGATCGTGCCACTGCACTCCAGCCTGGGTGACAGAGTGAGACTCTGTCTCGAAAACAACAACAACAACAACAAAAACGTGCATGAGAACTCCTCTCCAGATGTAAATATATAACCGAGTTTGAATTCTGACACTTAGGCACCTTTTCTGGGCCATCACCCAAGAGTTTCCAGACTCTGCTGGGAAGTCTCTTTGCTGATGCCTGGAGAGGGTTAATGTGCTCTGCAGATTATCGTGGGCATGGATCTCCTCCTGGGAGCCCAATCAAACAGATGTCAAGGCTGCCTGGGTTTGGGCTGTGATTTTCCCACGGATTGGCTGGTTTTATATCCTGAGTGAGGGGGGCAGGGAGGGGGTAGGATGCTGAGGGATGGGGTGAGAGGTTATGAGGAAGGGAAGGGCCTCAGGAGCTGAAAGCCACTTCTGCTTTCTGGACTGGACTTCAGAAAAGTTCCTTTAAGTGAGGGCTGAAGACAAATATATCCCTTTTCTTCTGGGCCAGAAGGCTCAGAAAACTAAAGAAGAGGATGGCAGGCCTGTGATATGACCTTCTTTGGGTTGGGAGAAAGGAGAGGTGAATTCCACACGGAAGAAAACAGAAAACAGTCCCCAGGTCTTCAGTGTCAAATAAGGAATCCATCAAATACAAAACACGACAGTGGGAATGAGATCTTCCTCATCTATGCCTCACTAATTGCTCTCAAAAGTCATTGGGTATTAACAAAAAAAAAGGTCATTTGGTAAATTGAATGGCATTATATAAAAACTAGAAATATTTTTTGATCAATAGTATTTTTACCTCTTTTAATATTGTTATTCTTTCTCCTCTTTATACCGGCCTACTCACTTGATCTGTAATCTCTCTAGTGCTATACACAATGCTGTATCTGATTCCCTTTGGTAATTCCTTCTAAGGCAAATTATATCCATTAAGTTTTTGTAAAGGGCCTTCTCAGGTGTACAGCATGCTATTTTTCTTCTGTAATTATTTCTTGCTTTTGGAAAAAATATCTTTTATAAAAGCAGAAAAAGGTGTTTTTTTTTTTTTTTCCTGTTACAGCAGGAGTGGGTGTTATTAACTCTGGGCTCTCCACAAAAGACCTTGGCTACTTAGCCAGCATGCAGTAGGTGTGAGAGTTCAAGAATAATGGCTGCTTTGTATTCAGTAGCCTCTCTTCTCTAGGCCCTCTAAGGTCCTTGCAATAATTGAACATTTTAGCTCTTAAGGACTTCTTTAGTGGAGGTAGAGCAGGATAGGTGTGAAAAGGCAGATGTCCAGAGCCCCCTTTCTCAGAAGTAACACTGAGGCCCAGGGATATGTGAACACAGGCCTGAGGTTAGGCCAGGCCTGCTCAAGGGGGGTGATATTGCCCCCCTCTTTAGGGAACAAAGATGAGTTCTTGGGGATCAAAAAACTGAGTTATTAATTACAGTGTTTTATCATGCTCCAAAGGTCTACAGTAGATGTATAGTTTATCTCTGGTACTCACATTTCTGGTGGGGAGATGATTAAGAAAAAATGACCTAAAAAGTGTCCTTAGGAGAAGTGATAAAAAAAAGGTGGAGAAGCGCTGTGATAGATCCACCTAGTGTCAGCGCCAGTACAGACAGGGATCTGCTGGGAGGTCTCTTGGCCTGCTGTTCTGGACATACTTTTCATTTTGTGAGGGACTAGCTGGCTCATCATGGAAGGAGCCCTGGGCCTGGAGTTATGATTCTGCCTCTTGCCCCTCTCCAAATCTCAGTTCTTCAACTACTAAACAAGAACACAGATAAAACAGCCCCCAAGGTCTGCCCTAACTCTGTGACTTTCTGCAGACACCCACCTGATTGAGCCAACACATCCAAACCTGGGCACTCACACACATATGCATACACATTGATTATATTTGCATTTTTTTGGTCAAGCAAGTCCACCAAATTGGAGGAAAATCCAACCACTACACACAGACTGAACTTTTAGTGCTGAAAAAGCTCCCTGATTTCCTCTTCTCCCTTTTCTCCTGTGCCCACTGCCTTCTACCCCAGTTGGAGGTAGATACCTCAGGACAACTGGATATTCTTTGCCCAGCCTAGCTGGGTACCTTAAACACTCTGGACCCTCACTCACTGCCCACCGATAGATCCGTGGAAGCTGGAATCAGTTTCCCCCAAATGTAGTCATCATTCTAGCTGCCTAGTAAGTAGGAAAAGCTCAAGAATGATTAACACAAGGTGGTGGAATCAGGTGGGCTCACTTCACACATGAGAAAGTTGGCTGCAGGTACCTGTGGGAGTGAGGCAGAGATGGCATGGAAGCTGAGGTCCCCAGATGCCTCCAGTGGCTTCTGAACCCTTCTCAGAGCTGGCTCACACACCAAATGCACACAGAGAGGGTCCACCGAGTTGGAGGGACAGGCCTGTGGGCTTCTCAGTGTCACACAAATCAGAGGCAGCAATAACAGGTGTGGCTCCCATGGCCTGAGCAACCCGGCACCCCTGCTCAGCCTCCCAGAGAGAGGGGAAGGAGCAAACCACTCAGCCTTGGCCAGTTTGCCAGAGGAGGAAAATTCCTTCCTGACTCTGGTGGTGATCATCAACTTCACTCTGGGCATGTGACCAAAAATTGGCCCAATTAAGCATCTACACATTGGCTGTTTACGGGCCAAATCATCACTGGGCAGAACTAGGCCATAGGGTGCAAAATATAGAAAAAAGTGGCCAAGATTGGGCTTCCTCAACCCCACCCTCTGAGTGGTATCATTGGGAAGAAAATCGGTTTTCCTTCCTTAAAGCCTCAGTGATACCCAAATGTCCACTCCGTCCCAAGACTTGTGAGCAAGGGAGGGTCAATTTCCCAGCCCTTGGACCTCCCTAAGAAGGGGCCCACTGAGGAGAACCCAGTGGAGTATTTCAACACTTACTGCTAAAGAAAGATTGAGGGTTGGGTGCTTGAGGGTTTGTTCTTCTGAGAGGAACCCTAGCAACTGTGAGAACCAATTTGCTGACCTCTTGTCAAGTGATTCCTCATTTTTCTTTAGCTCGCTTAGGGAGTTTGCGTGTTTGTTTGTTTGTAGCTGTTTTTCTGAAGGTGCAGCGAAGATCCAAAAAGGTATGCCATGTAGTTTGCTGTAGGCTTCGATGCAAAGCTTACCAGTTTTGGATTACATATATCAGGGGTTAAATCCTACCTCTGCTGCTGCGAACGTGGGGCACATTTCTTACTACCCAGACTGCTGAAATTCTTAAGCTTTTTTTCATATAGATGTGGTATATAAATATTCATGCCCCTCTTCGAACTACGGTTTCCTCATCTCTAAAATGGGGATTTTTTTTTTTTTAAATCATGCAATCCGATATATGCAAAGGACGGGGCATAATACATATATTCAATCCTGTTTTAGAGGGAAAAATCAGCCATCAACAATGTATCTAAAAATTTGCCACTCTGGTGACTTCTGAAAAAGGGAGATGACCAAACTGAAAACTCCGGCCCGAGAATACCTTAGATTATGAAAAACAGTATTGCAGAGAACACGAAGACAACAGAATCAAGCGTTCACTCGGATGGGCAAACCACCCCTTTCCCTGGGTCTCTGGACTAGACTGAACCACAGAGCTGCCTCCCTAAGTCATCTAGCCTTTCTGGCCTCAGTTTCCTCATCTGTAACATGAAGCGATTGCACCTAGTGATGTCTGACACACTTTCGGGCGTACAAAAGGCATCCACACGCAGGCCCGGCTTCAGCCTGAGGAGGGAGCTTGTGCTACCTGTCGCTGTCAGCAGGGGGCAACCCCACAGAAACCCCACACACTGCAGAGTCTGACAAGGCCTGAGAACACAGTGGAAAAACGCTAACCATTGCTTTTCTGGAAGCATTCTCTTCTGGGGAGATGTCAGAGGGCAAATGGGTTTCTTTTAAAACTGTTTTGTACAAATTCCTGAAAATGCCCCAAACTATAATAAGGGAGTTCTCTGTATCGAGGGGGTGGGGGACAGTGGGCAGGCCGGTGGGGAAAGGAATTCAGTCAGGGGAGAAGGGTAGGTGGGGGGCTTTCCTTGAAGCTGAATATTTTTCTGAGTAAAATCCAGCTTCCCTTCCTAAAGAAGCTTTAGGGAGGATAGAGAACTGAGCGCCTGGGCGCGTTCTCTTAATTCCCCTTGGTTCAGCTAAGGGATCCAGAGGGAGTGGTGGCTGTGAGGAGGGCTGGTGGCCACACGGCCTGCGGAGGCAAGCAGGTCTCTCTGAGGCAAGCCGTCACATCCGTGTCAAACAGCTCCCGGAGGCCCTGGGACTGCACCCAGCGCAGGTGCCGGCCCTGGAGCTGGAGATGGACGAGCAGACCCAGGCCCCAGGCCGAGCCTCTGAGCCCTGACACCCCTTACGATTCATCCAAAAAAGCAAAGAAAAGGCGCTTACGTGAGGGCAGCGGTGGCTAGGTCCAAAGAGGAGGCTTTCAAGGCAAGAGAAGGCAGGCGCTCCCAGCACCAGCGTGCAGTGGAAATAAAGACACCTGTAGCCTTGTGATATAAGTGACACCTACAGACAGGTCCGTTTGGTTTTTCAGGTTTACGCACAGCCCCTTTGATGACGGTGACATACAGTGTGACACGGCTCCTTGGAGGGGGGGAAATGGTTCTCATATGCAGAAAGTTTACCTTTATCCTGCTTTTGTGCGCAGCTCACCCCTGCCCTGCAACCCCCCACTCCCAGCCCAGGGGACTCAGTAAACAAGCAGAAAATTCTTGTCCCTGGGAGCTGTGCGGGGATCGTGCGTTTGGTGAGGAATTTTCCTCTGTGCAAGCTGGAGGGGAAACACAGAGATTCCACCCTGGTGCCGGTCTGCGCTGCCTCTCTCCCAGGCTGGCTGAGCCCAGTGCTTTTGTAAGATCATGTCTTTCTCCGTTTTTCCCATGTGGTGAGAAGGAAGAGCATTATAGGCCCAGTGTTAAGACCTCAGGTTTTGCAGCTAGTTGCCTTTAGATTCAAATTCAGTGTCCATCATTTCCTAGCTGTGCTACCTAGAAAAATGTAGCTAACATCTCTGGGCTTCATGAGTGTAATGTAAGTGATGGGGCCTCTCCTCATGTGGATGCCAGCTCTCAGGTGTCTCGCTGAGAACTGCCCGCTTTTTAGTACTTCTTCGTGACAACAGAAACTCTGCCTAATTTAGGCTGCAAAGCACAGTGTCCCAGGTCATCTATGAGACAGGTATTTATAACCCTGTGCCTTTTTGCATTCTGCTTCTAGCCATCTTGGGCAGCCGAGATGTTGTATTCAAATGGCAGACTCCAAGCTTTAAAGCGAAAGCAAGGACTGGTTTGTTATGTTTTCTTGGGATCACCGGGCATGGTTACAAACACACAAATACAAATACGCATATAGTCTGCAGAAACAAAAGGCAGTTCGTGAGAGGATTCGGGGTGTCATCATGGAAAAATTGTTGAAGGAAGATAGGTGACTGCCTAGACCCCTATCTTGGCTGGGTAACCTGGACTTCTCTGGGCTTCATTTTTCCCCAGTGGCAAAAGGAGGAAGTGGGATTGAAATAGTGATTTTTTTCAAACTGTGACTTGAGGAACCCCAGGGGCTCCCTGGAGCCCTTACAAGGACTTTTGCGGGTGAGAGGATGGGAGTGGAGTAGAGTGGGTTAGGCTCTAGACCACCCCGTTCCTTCCTGACTCAATAAGAGCATCTCAGCTTTTATATAAATCTTCCGGGTAAGATTTCATTTGAACAAAAGAATCTGCCCTTAGAAAGGGTTTGCAAGTAACTGGATTACATGGTCTTTGGGCCTCTTTCAAGCTTTAAAATTCTGTACTTCTCTTCCTCTTTGGTTTCTAGGGGACTGTGCACTGTGATAGTCCCACACACTGTGTTTTCCATTGTTGGGCACTGGCCTATCTTGTCATTGATTTCTGAAATGTTACCAGTGTTTCTTTCTGAACATATACATTCTTCTCAGTGGAGAGGTTTTTAGGGAAAACATGTTATTCTGATACTGTTTTTAGAAAGAGTCTTTTGGGCTGGGCGCAGTGGCTCATGCCTGTAATCCCAGCACTTTGGGAGGCCGAGGCAAGCAGATCATGAGGTCAGGAGTTCAAGACCAGCCTGGCCAACCTGGTGAAACCCCATCTCTATTAAAAATACAAAAATTAGCTGGGCGTGGTGGTGCACATCTGTAATCCCAGCTACTCAGGAGGCTGAGGCAGGAGAATCGCTTGAACCCAGGAGGCGGAGGTTGCAGTGAGCCGAGATAACGCCATTGCGCTCCAGCCGAGGCAACAGAGTGAGACTCCATCTCAAAAAAAAAAAAGAGTCTTTTGGAGAAATTATATTTTTTCTATACTCTTTTGGCTCAATTTTTTCCCCAGGGGCTGTGGCTGCCCAACTGACTCAATTATTTGAGTATAAAAGTCTTCTGACAATGGATGTACAAGACCATGAACTCTGTTTGTCTCACGGTCCCAAATGAATAATATAGCATTTCTGGGTGCCCGTGTGTGAAATTGCAGGCTTCTGGATCAGTGGATAAAAGGGATGATTAAGATAAACCCAAAATAAAAGAAGAATTTGACTCTAATTAAGTGTAACTATCACTTTAAACTTAAATTTGATTGGAATGGAGATCTTGGATGATATTGAACATGAAGCATCTAAGAACTTCATTATGAGTGTTGAATGACAACAAGAATGGGGACTGGGGATGGAAGAGGAAGGTAAAAGGACTAGGGTGGAGGGAGGGGGCAGAAGAAGGAATGAGACATTTTAGAACTCCCAGCCTATCCTGCTTCTGGTGTCCTGGCTATACAGCAATATTAAGTAACACCAATTGGGCTTATAATTGTAACGTAGTGGCTAAGAAAACAGATTCTGGAAGGAGACTTCCCAAGTTTGAATCTCTGATCTGCCATTTGCTGTCTGGGTGAGTCTGGGAAGCCTATTGAACATCTCTGCATCCCAGTTGCCTCATCTGTAAAATGGGAAAAAAGGAATACATTTCCTGTAGGGTTGTTGTGTGAATTAAATGAGTGAAAACTTGGGGAGTAGAAGGAGCCCTAACTAAGTGTGGCTTATTTACATTTTGACCTGTTATATTCCTTACATTAAATTTTCATACATATTCGACAAGGAAGTTACTGATCATCTCTAATTTACAGATGAGGAAACTGAGGCACAGAGAGGTTAAGTAACTTGTTCACGGTCACACAGCTAAGTGGTAGAGCAAGTATTTTAGTCTAGGCTGCCTGCCTCTGGAGCCCATCCTCTTAACTGTTGTGCTAATCAGTTTCTGGGTGCTCCTGGGGCAGTTCTTTGCGGATAGGGAGGAGAGAATCACACCTAAAGAGCATCTATGATGTACCAAGTATTGTGCTGGGATGACTCACTTGTATTTCCTTGGTAATTTTTCACAATTATCGTGGGAGGTAGCTATCACTATTTTCTTTTTTAAGACAAAGAAACAGAGGTGCCATGATTGCTGAGGCTCACCCAGTTGGTCAGTGGCCAAACCTGCACTGAACTCAGGCCTGACCAATGTTAAAGGCAAGCTGTGGAAACAGGAGCTTAAGTTGGCCTCTCTTCTTTTGCTCTGGCCTCAACACTGGCCTAAAAGGTGGCCCATCTGTCTCTGTTGGCTCAAGATTTCTAGGATTCATGGTTATTGCTGGCACAATCTTTCTGTTAGTATAGAGTGGAAATTCTGGTACCTCACTGAATCTGGTGCCTAGTATCGTTCTTGGGATCAAGAACGCACTCAATACCTACATGGATCATAAAATCATGTGACTTAAAGGGCATACCATCTGACAGAGGCTGGAGGCTTCCATCCTATTCTTTTCACTACATATAACAGGCTTCACATCTCAGATGCTTTTCCTAGAACTTGCTTTCTTTAACCAAGGTGAACATTTCTTTGTCATTTATTTTTTCCCTCAACCTGCCAACTTCACCACCATCCCAAGAGGCAGCACAGGCTGAAAACAAAAGCGAGTTAGAAAAACAAGTTTAGGTAAATTCACAGATAATACCATTGGAAGGAGAGATTTACAGTGTGATGGTGAAATGCACTGGCTTTGGATTAGACCCCTGTCACTATTATTCTCATATTATTTTTAGAAAAGAGTCTGTTGGAGAAAATGCAATTTTCTATGCTCTATTGGCTCAAATATTTGGGAACAAAAAGATTTCTGTCAGTGGGTGTATATAACAACAAACTCCTAGCACCTGCCACCTGGGAGACATTAGATGAGCTATCAGCTTTTCAGGGTCACAATTTCCTCACCAGTGAAGTATCTACTACTATGATTCTTGGTGCATGGTAAATTTCAATAAATGGCAGTTATTGTAATGGGCTATAGAGAGAGACACAGATATTGGTTGAGAGCCCCAACCTTTGGGCATTACCATAACAAGTAGGATAATGTTGCCCTTCCTCTTCCACAATGAATAATCATAATAGCTACCATTTGCTGAGCATTTACCGGGTGCAAAGAACTGTCTAGGCATGCTACAGGTATTAAGTCATTTAATCCTTATATCATTCCTCCGAGGTAGGTACCATTATTATCACCTAAAATTTACTGATGAGGAAACAGGGATAGAGAGTTGAAGTAACTTGCCCAATATCACATAGCACATGAAGCTTAAAGCAGTACTGGAGCCTCTGCAGGATACACCAATGCACCATATATGGAGCCTATGCACCAGAGTCCACAAGCTTTACCATTATGCTACCATTTGGTACCTCTCGGTGAGGCAGAATCTAAGTTGAAGAGATACCAATTTTCTTAAACATCCCAAATTGCTGGTAGGATCCTTGAAAGCAAGGACAAGAGTCATGAATCTTTTGTCCCCCCAAATGCCTTGCACAGACTTGTGCAAAAGTAGGTGCTTAAGCAATTCTCATTCGTTGATTGTCAATTGGTTGATTGATTGGTCAGATTTCTTTCTTTGCTTTGTTTCCTCTTTGGGTGTTTTCCCTCATCCTCCTACATCCAACTCACTCTTTAGCTGTTCATGCTACCATCTTCCTGACCAGAAGCCCCGATTCAATCGAAGCAACAGTTAGGTGGCCCTCTTAATAACCCTTCCTTGGCTATGAGCCTCAGGACAGTAAAGGTCTCTGTTATTTCCAGTACTGAAGGCACCCTGGAGGTTAAACAATGGCAAAGTCAATGGGGAATATTGTAATATAAAATGACAGAATTTGATTTCATTAAAATCTGTAACAAAAATATGATTTTATAGTTATAGGTTTAATTATGATAATGTTTGTGAAATAGTTGATGCAACTGCATGACCATATTGCTGGTCTTTCTTCTTCCAGTAAAGACACTGGAAGTCAATCTATTAGAGGTTTCTACATTTTGGGTAAGCCCCGTGAATCTGAAGCCATAATGCCTCTATAAAAGCACAGATCTGAGAGGCACAGCCAAGAGGACCCTTCTCATAGGAAGGATTCCTGAAGACAGGATTTTCTTTAGATGTTTTCCTACCACACATAGGAAGTGGCAGACATGAGGTGTGCTTTCTGAGAGAGTTGTTTGGGATGGTAGTCTGAGGAATGGACGACTCCTGTGGCCAGCCCATACTGTTGTTAGAGGACGGACTGGGCTAACAGTGTTGCCATTGGAATCTTGGGTAGTGAATGGGGTGGTCCCTCTCGATCAGGCTAATTAGCTTGACGAATCTGGGATTCATGCTAATGAAGGTTATCAATAGATTATCAATCATACAATTATTAAACACTTACTCTTTTTGCAGGCAAGCGAACACTGGACTTGCTGAGAGAAGGTAACTTTCTGAACCTGTTTCCTCACCTGTCCAGTGTGAATGATCGCACATGCAGCTTGATAACATGTGTGACCACACACATTGGCTTCCATAGCTCTAGACTAAACACCTCACTCCTGCTGACTGTCACCCGTAGGCATGTCCTTGGTCAAAAGATGGGAGTGGAAGGATGTGAAGATGGAGCATGGGAGGTGAGAAGTGATGCTGGATCCACGCAGATCTAGCCTCATCAGTCAAACAAGACTTAATGCTAAGATGTTGTTGGTTATAAGATACGTCATCGACTTAAACAATTGTCTTAGAGGAAGCGCTATGTTAAATATGCAGATAGATAATAAAGCTTGTCCTGATTTCAGAAATGTTAAAATGTGAATTTGATAAATACAACAATAAAAAACCCAATAGGGCAGTATTTAATATCAATAAGAGGGATGTGAAAAAGAGTAAGACCTAGTTGTGGCCTTCAAGGAATAGATAACCTAACAGAGAATTCAAGAAGAAATATTGAGAGGCATTAATTAATTTCAAGCCAAATTTTGAACTAGGGGCTGTAGGACTTCAGAGAAGAGGAGCTAATAGTGCTGGAGCAGCCAGAAAAAAACTTTCTGTGGGATTTGGCATTTGAGTTGGGTGATGAAGGATTGGGGTGACCTGCTAGAAATGGATGCTTATTATGTGCCAAGCACAATAGCTGTAGGAGTGGGGCTGTTATTATACCCATTTTACAGAAGAGAAAACTGAGGCTCAAAGAGCTTTAGTAATTTGCCCCAGGTCACACACCTAAGTAGCAGAGCTGGGATTCAATCCTAGGATAACCTAACTCAAAGCTCAGGCCCATTGGCCACTGTGTTCTGCAGTGTCTTGGGGGCGCTTTCAATCAAGAGGAAACCTGGCCGTGCATGGAAGGAGAGAGTAGGCATGGATAGCTCATGACTGCTACTTCCTACTCATGGGAGTAGGAAGTCTTACATGTGTCACTATGTGACAGTCCTGGGTAAGTTGTGAATCATGTGTCTGGAATATCAGCACCTATGAACAAGGGGACCTCTGACTGTTAATGGGGACCTCAATATTGAAAAGGCCTCTGATTTTGTCTGCTATTTAGGAGCAAACTTGTGTGGGGCAGCAAAATGAGACTTTGTCACCAGCTTTGATTCTGCTCTTACTCTTGCCCCCAAAAAATAAAATATGACTCCTACATTTTTCTGGGAGTCACACTGTTTTTCTTTCTTTCTTTCTTTCTTTCTTTCTTTCTTTCTTTCTTTCTTTCTTTCTTTCTTTCTTTCTCTTCTTTCTTTCTTTTTCTTTCTTTTCTTTCTTTCTTTTTCTTTCTCTCTTTCTTTCTCTCTCTTTCTTTCTTTCTTTCTTTCTTTCTTTCTTTCTTTCTTTCTTTCTTTCTTTCTTTTTCTTTCTTTCTTTCTTTCTTTTCATTTCTTCTTCCTCTCCTCTCCTCTCCTTTCCTTTCCTTTCCTTTTGACAGAATCTCACTCAGTCACCCAGCCTGGGATGCAGTGTTGTGATTTCGGCTCACCGCAGCCTCTGCCTCCTGGGTTCAAGCAATTCTCATGCCTCAGCCTCCTGTGTAGCTGGGATTATAGGCTCACACCACCACACCCAGCTAATTTTTGTATTTTTAGTAGAGACAGGGTTTCACCATGTTGCCCAGGCTGGTGTCTAATTCCTGGCCTCATGTGATTTGCCCTTCTCAGCCTCCCAAAGTGCTGGGATTACAGGTGTGAGCCACCACACCCGGCCCGTACTGTTGTTGTTGTTGTTTTTATCCATGTCTTTGCAATCTTTTACCATCTTCCACAGTTTCATTGGCCATTAAAAAGTTTACGTGTCCAAATCATACACTGAAATTTCCTGAGTTTGGTTCTGTTTGGGAACTTGTTTAGAGAAAGTCTCTGTTGCAAACACAGAATGGTATAAGAATTTAGGTATTATGCTTTTACAAAACTATTATGAAGTTTTCTGATGTGTCACTTTATTACAGAGTTTAACATCATATCTCAACAGAAATCCAATGATTCTGGTACTGACACATCCAAGGGGAGAGGCCTCAAAATTGAGAAGCTGCCAAGACTCACCCACAGGTTCATGTCAACATGGACTCACTTGTACCCCAAGCCGTAGGCCTAAGTGGGCTCCCCTTAGAACTTGTCCACCCCTAAGGTAAGTGTCTGGGATTGGAATTTTTGGAAATTATTGTGAAGCAATTGGACAGGTGTCTTCAATGTCCTGGACATCACTCTTACCCACATCCCTGTTCATGAAACTATGTTTTAATTCTTTCTCAATGTGTGAAGGGAGATGGGTAGGATTCTGTTTCATGTTGTATGGACAGTGATATCTCTCTGGTTCCAAAGAACCAGTGAGATGTGGAACTTGGCTGAATATTTTTGAGTGATGCAATAATTTAAAAAGATATCCATGGTTTTGCAAGGAACATAAGCTACATAAGAAGGCAGTTAAAGAAAAACCAGTAACAGAAAGAGCACTGGGATTTGAGTCTAATTGATGTAGGTTCAAATCTCAGTTCTATCCCTTGGTAGCCAAGTTACTTATCTCCTTGAGACTTGGTTTCTTCATCTGAAAATAAATTGTCACTTCATACAGTTTTGGTGACAATTAAATGAGATAACATGGTATATGTAATATATGAAGCACTTAGCCCAGTGCCTGGCATATATTAAATACTCAATAAATGATTATTACTGTGATGTCTCCATTTCTAAATTAGCAAAATGAAAATAATATTAACTACTCACTAGATCAATTGAAATAATAAAGGTGTATGTGTCTGGCACATGGTAGATATTCATTCATCCATTTTTTCATCTTTAGTTTATTTGGAATCCATCAAAAGTTTACAAACCCTGGGAGTTAGGAGAAGGCCACTTTATTTGGCCAACAGTCCTCTTTCATCTTAAATGGAGCAGTAGTTTTATAAAATGTTTATTTCCTTATCTAAACTGTTCTTTTTCCCCCGGGCCCTTATGTGCCTTTCTGGGAGCAAAGAAACTCCAGGAATCCCAGCAAATCACTCTGCAGAGTGGCCAACAGGTGTGACATCAGAAGTCCTAATAGTGGGGCTTTGGTGAGTTTGCCTTTTTGAGGTGCCCATGGGAGAATGGATGCTATCTACCTCTACAGGAAGGAAGCAGCCACTTGGTGTTTCTGGCTTTCAGGCTGTATCCACCCCAGGTTTCAGCTGTCATTTTGGGCCAAGTTAAAGGCAGAGGGCAGATTTTGCACAAGGCCCTCTGAAGTGGGGAATAATTTGGGTCAAGTGTTCCAGCTAGGGTGAGCAGCAAGTTGCACAGTCAGCCAGCAGAAAAAGGCTGTGTGTGGAGAGGCCTGGTCCAGGCACTAATGATTCAGGTAGATTGCCAGGAAGGGCAGAGGCAACCAGGCTGGCTGTGCCTGTTCCACAGTCTCTGGGCAGTTTCTCGGCCTTCAGCTTCACTGTGGGGGAACCTAGCCTCGGAGTGTTACTGGATACCCACCTCCCCACTGATGCCTGATCAAATTTAAATCAAACCTGCAGTTCTGGGCCCTGAAAGTTCATTTTTCCTACCCAGTGCTGAGTGAAGTTGACTTTAGGCCAGACCAAACAATATTCAGGAGGAGCCCTACCCATTCAAGATACTTTGCAACTGACAAACATTTTTAAGGTGATGGACATTTAAGACAAACCATGATAGGTCTGGAGATAAGATTTGAAAATTTGGCTGACAGTTAGCAGCCAAGGAGGGCATCTGCAGGTGGAGTTTGCAACTAGGAACTCTATAGACTCTAGCTAATTATTGTACAGATATAGAAAAGCCTCTTTTTTGGGAAAAGGGTGATGACAAATCCAAGGTATAGTGGATAAAACAGGCACAATTTCAAGTCCAGCTGAATAAACCTGGGCAAGCAGACACACACATGCATGTGTGCATGCTGTCAGTGCTACCACATACACTTCCATCCCTCATACAGAGAGTTCACCTAGCACCTAGACACACCCCCTACATCCACCACACTCTCCCCACAGACACCCTGTCCTCCCCACCGTACAGACCAACCACACACAGCACAGACCCCTCCCTCTTCTCCCATGCACACATCATACACACAGCCATCAGATAAACACAGTCCCCTTAGGAAGCCGATTAATAAAACTATTTTATCTATAATTACACTTGACTGATAATAATGTCCTCAGAGCCTGCATGGTTAGATTGGCTCAGATTGTAACATCCAGATTACAGCTGAACTCCCTTTGAACTCTGGCCACATTGCTGGTCTCTCCAGCTCAGAGATTACAGATGGCTTTAGGTGGATTCACCCCACGGAACCAAGAAGGTAAGTAGAATTCCAGCTCTCCTTGCTTTTCTTTTCTCTCCAAGCCTGTACAGATGATGCGATCTCTGAAAATACATGGCCAAATACAAGAGGAAGGCCGAAATCAAATAACCTCCTCCAACCCACCCTTGTGTATCCTGGTGGGTCACCTTGCAAACCAGCGTCAACCTCAGATTCCACAGAGGAGGTTGCCTGGAATGCTCTCTTGAAGACTGACATTTGAAAATAATCAGTTTAATTTCTGGGTCTTGGGATCTTGGGGACGGACTCCAGTGAGCCATAATTAACTCTTTAAAGTCTTCACCGTGTGCTGCAAATAGTAAAATATCTTATTCTTTATGATGTAATGCTGAATGGAGGCAGCAAGGAGGCTTTTCAGGCTAATTACATGTTGGAACGAGGTTAATGACATGCCGGAGATTCTTTGCGTGGCTACCCTGACATTGACAAGTCAGTCGGTAACATGCTAGGGCTAAAGACAGCGACTACTTTTAAAGAAGGCATGCGTCTGGAAACAGCTAGACAGGCCCCTAATCTGGCCCCTCTCCTGTCCGCCACCCCCCCGGCCCCGACCCCACTTCCCATTTTTCGGGAATTAAGAAATCTTGATTTTAAACTGGCGTTCAATACCAAGGGCCTGGAGATTTGGATCGGCATCCTCATGAGTCTCAGCTCTATCTTATGCTTTTTACAGCAGCTGAATTTAGCCAAGGATGCAAACAAAAGTCCACTATCTAAGCGGATGTTTTTGGGCTGAGCAGAAGGCACGTCTGTACAGACAAGCAAGGTATGCATCAATATGAATGACTGGATCACAGTAAAATGCCCAAGACACGGGAATGAGTTCTGATTCTAGCCAACTGAATGAGCTCACATTCTGGTCCCACTCTGCAGGTGGGCACACTGGCATCTCAAAATCATGCAAGGAGACCCGACATCTGTTTCCATTCTTCTACCTGGGGCCAGGCCATACGTTAGCCACATGCAGAGCTGTCTCCAAGAGACTCCAGCCCAAGCTCCAGTGTGCCGTGCATAGCTTTGTGACTCCCGGCATTCCCTATCTGGATGAAATTGGGTAAAAGTAAAAATGCATCACACAGGCAGACTAAATAGGAAAAAGTAGCTATGAAAGATGGTCCTGCTTCCTAAAGAGGGTTGTCCCACCCCTTAGGAGGGCATTGGGGGCTGGCTTGCAGGCTAAGGTGTAAGGAAAAGGGCCTTAGTTTCCTTGCCACTTGCTAGGAGAGCCATCTCTTCTTCCTCCCTGGCAGATGGCTTGGGGCAAGGGCAGCTTTGCCCGCTGGACCCCAGCATTTCCTCTCCCCCCAGGTGCCCTTTCCTCTCCCTGCACACTCAGACCCGCACAGCACCCACCTCAGCTCCTTCGTCCCACCAGGCTGGGCTGGACTCGGGTCCTCCAATGTAGTCATCACCCAGCCCTGTGAGGGCCCCGGCTGGATCGACCCCTCCTCCTCAGTGAGAAGGACACTGCATGGCTGCCTCCAGGCAGGGGACACCACCCCTGGGTGTCCCGGCCCCGAGCAGCCTCCCAGGCGCAGCAGGGTCCTGGAGTGGCAGCTGACAGACGGCTCTTCCACCTCCACAATGCCCAGGGGTCAGCAGAGGGTTAGGCAAGTCTTTCGTTTTGACATGAGCTACCACGGAGAGAGACAGCCAGAGAGAGACTTTTGCTCTGTGGTGAGTGGCTGAAGTCTCCGTGTGCTGCTGATGGGTCTGTGGTCTCCAGTGGAGGTGAGGTGTGCAGCGTCTGGAGGAGCCAGAAAGAAATGTGTCAGACAGGGCTTGTCAGTACCTCAGCACCCTGCCAAATAGTAATTATCACAGCCTCGTGCCACTCAGGAGAGGGAGGGCAATATTTGTATCCCCATTTTATAGAAGGGCAAGTGGAGGCCTAGGGAGGTCAGACAACCACTTTAGCCAGTCAGTCAGAGGCTAAACTTGGTCCTGAGTGGGGCTGACTCAGAAGTTACCACTGGAGCTTGGGTAAAGCCAGGCCTGCGGGGACAGCCACAGGCACCTCTGCCCCATGAAGCTGTGGGATCCAACCCCTTCCCTCCTTGGGGCTGTGCAGAAGGCACCGAGGTGGCTCCCTTATCTCTGCTGGCTGTGTCTCTCCCATATCCCTTCCCTGACCTATTTTTTTTATTTTTATTTTTTGAGACGGAGTCTCGCTCTGTTACCCAGGCTGGAATGCAGTGGTGCGATCTCCGCTCACTGCAAGCTCTGTCTCCCGGGTTCACACCATTCTCCTGCCTCAGCCTCCCGAGTAGCTGGGACTGCAGGTGCCTGCCATCACGCCCAGCTAATTTTTTGTATTTTTAGTAGAGATGGGGTTTCACCGTGTTAGCCAGGATGGTCTCGATCTCCTGACCTCGTGATCCACCTGCCTCAGCCTACCACAGTGCTGGGATTATAGGCGTGAGCCACCGTGCCCAGCCCCCTGACTCTATTTTTTATTCTGGCCTACCTGACATTTGTCTAGAGCCCAGTTTCCCTCCCTGGGAACATGAGCCTCCTGAAATACCTTGCAAAGAAAAATTTCCTTGGGCAGCTAAGTTAGGAGGCGCTGACCTCCATATTCCCTGCTTGGGGTTCACAAAGCGTATCAGCTTATTAAAAGCTCCAAGAAGCCTTTCAGTAAAGAAACCTGTTTAATTTTGCTTAGCCCAGCATTTTCCAAACTTATTTAGGCAACTCTTTCTCGTAACACCCATTAGCATACCACCCAGCTAGTGTTCCACCAGACGCACATTGGGAAATCCTCATTGAGATAGTCCACTCCCCAAGAGAAGGGACTGTGCCTGTTTCACTAGCCGGTGTGTTCCCTGCACCACCCACTTGTGGCAGGCTCGGTATGTTGGGCAGATCTGAGCAGCGCCTTCATTTCCCTAGTTTCTCAGGCATGAAGCTTGAGGTCCTCTTGAACACTCATTCCCCAAGCCCTTGCATGAAACCAGCCACCATGTCACATTGACTGTGATGTTTCTTTCATATTTATCCCTCTTTTCTTACAGTCAGTGTCAGATTATCTATCACCTCCACAGAGAGGCCTTTCCTCACCACCCTCTCTAAAATAGCACCTCCTGTCAGGGTGGCCATGTTGCTCAATCCCAAGGGTGCCATTTCCATAGACCACAATGCAATGGGTGCTTTTTGGAATTGTGCACATTGGATGGCTGCCCTCATCGTTCTCAGGGTCCCTATTTCACTTTCGTTTTCTTCAGGGTGCATTCCACTATTTGACATTGTATTTGCTTATATATTTATTTGCTTATTGATCATCTTCTGGACATCAACTAGTTGTTATGCAGGCTGTTCACTACATATAGGGATAGGTCAGTCATTGCCTTGTGTCTTTTTGTTTCATTCCTGAATCCGCACCTGGAGGGCAAATCCCTGCACCTGATAAGGGAACAGAGGCAGAAATGCACACCGAGCTCTGCCTCCCAGGCCAAGCGTTCCATAAAAAGGTTTTTATTCACTTTGCACAAGGGGCATATCTACTTGTCCAACTACACACCTGTGAGCTCTGTCTGCCCAGAGGAAGACCCTCTGTCTAATTTACACAGAGGCACCAGGTGGGCTAACTTCATGATCTCTTCTATAGAAGGTAAGCTCCATGAGTTGGGTGACTGTTTATTAACTTCACCAAAACACTTTTGAGAATAAATATGGCACTATTTAATAGTGATATAGGGCCAAAAAACAGAAATTGGGACTGTCCTAGGCAAACCAGAACATGTTTTTGCCCTGTCCATGTGGAGTGGACTTTGTTTTGGTTTTTACACTATCCTCATTTTCTAGAACAGTACCTGGCACATCATATTTGTGGCTTACTAATTGAGGGAATGACTCCTGCTATATTCCCCAAACTGGGCTCCCTGTTTCAAGTCCCTCCCCTTTGCCAATCTATACTATCAGGTTAATCCTAACATGTCATTGTGTATGCATAAACCTCCCACTCCAGCATTTTTAAAACTTCCCATTTTCTGCAGCTCTATTTCCCAAAGTGTCATCAGAGTGATGTATTAAAAAAAAAAAGGGAAAAGGGGCTGGCTGTGGTGGCTCATGCCTGTAATCCCAGCACTTTGGGAGGTTGAGGGGAGTGGATTGCTTGAACCCAAGAGTTCGAGACCAGCCTTGGCTACATGAGGAAACCCTGTCTCTACTTAAAACACAAAAATTAGCTTGGCGTGGTGGTGCGTGCCTGTATTCCCAGCTACTTGGGAGGTTGAGGCACTAAGATCCTTTGAAAACTCAGGAGGCAGAGGTTGCAGTGAGCTGAGATCATGCCACTGCCCTTCAAACTGGATGACAGAGTGAGACTTGGTGTCCACAAAAAAAAAAAAAAAAAAGGGTGCTATGTATTAATACTTGGGCACACTTGGATATCCACAGTGATATGGTAAATGTGTATGAAAGAACTACAGGAAAAAAACGTTAAACTTTGTTTAGGCCAGTATTCCAAAAGTGTCCTTAGCATGACATTCCTGTTTTTGACCTAGTACATCCCATGGAGTTGGATGGGAATACTCTTCAGTAGGCCAAAGTCCTTAGTTTGATATTCAAAGGCAATAGCAGTTGAACCCACATATTTCTCCATACTGAGCTCCTGCAAGTGCCCCTGCAGGAGCCCTTGGTCCCTTCACTCATTCAATGAATATCTTCTGAGCAGAAGATGTCCCAGATGCTGGGAGCACTGTGGGGAATGCAATAGACAAGGTCTCTGTCTTGGTGGAGCTCATAGTCTAGATGACAAGGAAGAAAATCAAAGTCTCTGTTTTAGCTGGACTGGTCGGGGAAGGCCTCTCTGAAGAGGTGACCTTTGGGCAGGAGCCTGAATGACCTTGGTGTCAGCTAAATTGATTTGCTGTCTATTCCCGGAAGACACCCCATGCATTCCTGTCTGTCTCTGAGCTTTAGGTCACACTCTTCTTGAGGTCTGAATTCTTCTCTCAATTTTCCTCCACTCATCTTATTTCATTTTATTATTTATTTATTTTGAGATGGAGTTTCACTCTTATTGCCCAGGCTGGAGTGCAATGGTGCGATCTTGGCTCACTGCAACCTCTGCTTCCTGGGTTCAAGCGATTCTCCTGCCTCAGCCTCCCGAGTAGCTGGGATTGCAGGTGCCTGCCACCACGCTCAGCAAATTTTTTGTATTTTTAGTAGACATAGGGTTTCACCATGTTGGCCAGGCTGGTCTTGAACTCCTGACCTCAGGCGATCCACCCGCCTCAGCTTCCCAAAGTGCTGGGATTACAGGTGTGAGCCACAATGCCCAGCCCATTTTATTTTATTTTAGTTTTTGTATTTCAATAGGGTTTTGGGGAACACGTGGTGTTTGGTTACATGGATAAGTACTTTAGTGGTGATTTCTGAGACTTTGGTCAACCTGTCACCCCCCTCCACTCATCTAAATCTTATTCCCACACAGCCTCATGGTCTTCTTTAGTCTAACTTTCCCCGCAGTTTTCCTGGAGCCCTCACGGCCTCCACCGACATCTCAATTACTCCAAAACATTGAGTACATCACATTTTTGGCCCTTAGCTCAGGCCACCGGGCTTGCCTTGTGTCTCTTTTTTTGTACATTCCCTGAATCCCATTCCCTGAATCCACATCTGGGTTGTAAAACCCTACAAGCATTAGGAGCTCAATTTATTTCTGTTTGTTGATAATGAAGAGATATTCTTCACCAAGGCTAGATGAGGAATGGCAAATGGCTTTTCTCTCACATGTCAAATTGGACCAATGGCCATGGATGCCCAAGGAGCTGTGTTTAGAAGGCTCTTGTTGCTCCATGTAAAGATTGTCACAATCAATTTGCAATGTGCGTGTGTATGTGTGCACGTGTGTGTGTGGCAGGCGGAGCATAATCGCATCAATTCATCATTCTTAAACTAGACCCTGTAGAGATTTAGTGCTATTTGCTTAAATGGGATTAAGGGGTATGTTGTGTGGAAGGGGTTCTCAGGTGGGAGACTGGGTAATAAATCTCACTCAGGTGCTCAGCCTCTGGCTCTGGTGCTCAGCAATGTTCCCAGTGCCAGAAGGGAGAAGAGCAAAATGACAAGAGATCCTGTCTTAAAACGTCAGTGTCTGGCTTCACGTTGCTGTGAAGTGGCTGCAGAAATGAAACTGGGTGGGAGGGCACCGAGAGTGAGAATTCTTCATGTATTTACCCTCTTTGGATGGAGACAGACCAAGAAAACTGAAACCCCCTCCTGTGCTATAATATTGGACTCCAGGAAAGTGTTAGCTTCCTAGCTTTAAAGGGAGAAGAAAATATCTTTTTTGGCATCTGAAAACAGTAGTAATAAAAAATAACAAAGAAAAATTAAAGAGGAAAGAAACCACTTATAATTTCTCACACTGAACACAGTGCCTACTCTGGGCAGTTTATTCATTCTTTCAACAAATATTTACTTTGTGTCCATCATGAGCCAGGCAGTGGGGATTCCAACTAAAATCATGTGCGAACTAGTGAGTCCTTAAAAAGAAAACATGAAGTTTCTTTTTGTTGATTATAAGGTGAATTGGGCTGAAAGGTGGATCCCCAAAAGATCTGTCCATGTCCTAATCCCCTGGAACCTGTGAATATTACATTATGTGGTCAGGAGTAAGTAAGATGTGTTTAAATTCAGGATCTTGAGAAAAAGAGTTTATCCTGGATGATCTGGGTGGGTCCTAAATGCAGTCACATGTATCCTTATAAGAGTGAGGCAGAGGGATTTTACAGACAGACACTTGGAAGAAGAGAAGGTGAGGAGAAGCCATGTGATGTGGAGGCAGAGAAATGAGTATGTGGACACAAGTCAAGGAATGCTGGCAGCCACCAGAAACGGAAGAGGCAAGGAAGGGGCTCCCTGCTAGAGCCTTTGGAGGGATCATGGCCATGCTGATATCTTGTTTTGGGACTTTTGGCCTCCAGAACTGTGAGAAAATAAATTTCTGTTTTCGTAAGCCACTAAATTTGTGATAATTTGTTATGGCAGCCCTGGGAATCTAACACAAAAAATGGAGACAAGGCCAAAGAAGACAAGAAAAGTCACAGTAATTCTGCTTCACATAGTGAAGGTTCACACACATGCACACTCATATTCACACACACACAATGGGATTATTCTGAATACCTTTCCATGCTTTTTTGCTCTTCACCATAATTGTAACAGCTTCCATGCTATTCTGTTTTATGAGTGTGCTTCCATTTATTTAACTAATTTCTTAGTGTCAGATGTTTAGGCTGCTTCCACTTTCCACTGTTACAGGCAACACTGCACAATCTTTTCCATGATAGCTCCTGGGGGCAGGGTGGGGTAGGAGTACAGGGTAAGCCTCCCAAAGCCCAGCCAGTGAACCAGTGATGGATGAGTCTCTGGGGTTGGGACGGAGGTGGTGGGCAGGCAAGGCCAAGCTCATTAGCATGATAGAGTGGTTTCAAACCCCACAACAATATCTATTTTAAAAAATTAATAGGATCAAGGAAATATTTATGTCCCAAAGGAGAAGAGCAATAGGGTGTTTTCAGCTTTGGATCCAGAGAAAGATAGGTGACGCAGTGAATGTAGATTTGTTGATATGCGATGGTGTTGCTTGGAATAAACATTGGTTAGAAGCTGCCTGTTGCTTCAGACCTGCCCCACCCTATAGGATGAAAAACTAACAAAGCCATTCCCTGCAAGAAACACATTCCTCATCCAAGGGGCATGGATGATATTGATGTGGCCTTCAGAGGAATTTGGAACTGTCATCAAATGCTCCATAGGAAAGAATATGCATTACTTTTGTAGTCAGGAAGAAGACAGTTTGTGTTTCGTTTGTACACAGATGCTGTCTTGTGTGTTATTATGCCTCCATATTTCCAATTGGCAGAGGGGTGGCCTGAGTTGGAGAAGGGAAAAACAAATGGACTTGAACTTGAAAAGAAATGGTCAGGGAATAAAATTTGGACACATGCTACAACATGGATGAACCTTGAAGACATTACGCTAAGTGAAAAAGGCAACCACAAAAAGACAAATACTGTATGATTGCACTTACATGAGATGCTGAGAAGAGTCAATCCATCGAAATAGAGAATAGAATGGTAGTTGCTGGTGTGGGACAGTGGAGGAGGAATGCGGGGGCAGGGGATGTTGGTGTTGTTTAATAGGTACAGAGTTTCAGTTTGGGATGATTAAAATGTTCTAGAGAGGGATGGGGATGATGGTTGCACAGCATTGTGAATATACGCCACATTGCTGAAGTGCATATCTAAGAAGGGTTAAAATGGAAAATTGTGTGTTATATATATTTTATCACGATTAAAAAAGAAAAGAAAAGGAAATAGTCAGAGCTCATCTAGGAATCCCAGACAAGAAGATGGGAAAAAAACAGGAGATAATAGCAAGAGCTACAGGGCCACATAGACAGGAAAAACAGAGCAATGACTCACCTTTATGTGCTAAGTGTTTTATATATTTACTCCATGAATCTCATAACAACTCCATGAGGCAGATCATTATTTTCCCTATTTTATAAGGGGGGAACTGAGATTTAGTGAGGTCTAGTAGCTTCCCAAGGTGGCATTGAGCAGAGCTGGAATTCAAACCCAGGTCTGATATGTCCAAAATCTGCTTTGATGACATTTATAGAGCCTTTTCTACTACAGGATGTCCTTTGTGTATTTGTTTCACCTAATCCACATAAGAACTGGGTCAATTTGTTATTATCATCCCATTTTATAGATGAAGAAACTAAGACAAAGATTAGGAGATTTCCCTAACTGCATGTAGCTAATGAGTAGTAGAGTCTGTATCTGAACCCAGGCTTGCCTGGATTTGAAACCTATGTGAGGTTTTTCTATGGTTTGCTGGCTTAGACCAAGCTCCAAGGTAGTGTCTCAAGCATACTCTTTTCAGTCTGGCTCTCTGCCATACCAGGAGCAAGGAGATTATTTGCTGGAATTCTCTTGTATTATAGTTTAATGGTTTTTTGGGAGGTGGAGTCTCACTCTATTGCCCAGGCTGGAGTGCAGTTGCGTGATTACCGCTCACTACAGCCTCAAACTCCAGAGCTCAAGCAATCCTCCCACCCCAGCCTCCCAAGTAGCTGGGACCACAGGCAGGCACCACCATGACTAGCTAATTTAGTTTTATTTTTTGTAGAGACAGAGTCTTGCCATGATGTCCAGGCTGGTCTCAAACTCTTGGGCTCAAGTGATGTCCTCGACTTGGACACCCAAAGTGCTGAGATTACAGTTGTGAACCAACATGCCTGACCTGTAGTTTGATGTTTTAAGATGGTCTCTGGCTTATAGGGCCTCTTCTCCAACTTCTTAGAAGTCGTTCAAGTCCTTGCCTTAGAAGGCAAGTCCTGACTTCATTGTTTTTCTGAGGACTCCTGACTCCAAAACAATCTTTACTTGAGAAATAAGTGCTCCCTGAGATATTGCATTAGAAGGATCTATTGACTCATCTGTCTTGTTTACCAGGTTGTAAGCTCTAAGAGGGTGTAGGTTCTGCCTGATTTATCTCAGTGCCTAGCAGTATGCTCGACTCATAGGAGGGGATCATTAAATAGTTGTTGAGAGAATGAATAAGCCAAAGGGACAAATAAAAGCTTCTTTATTAACGCTTCAAGATGAGCCTTCTCTGGTTCAAAAATGAAATGTTCCAGGAAGAACACCAGCCACCTTTTCCTCTGATTTTGGTGTTCACCTCTATTCATCTGAGAGCTGTTGACCGGGCCCTTGCTGGGTGGGCTGGGGAAACAGAAACAATAGGTTCAGGCCAGGAGCAGTGGCTCACACCTGTAATCCCAGCACTTTGGGAGGCTGAGGCAGGTGGGTCGTTCGAGGTCAGGAGTTTGAGACCAGCCTGGCCAACATGGTGAAACCCTGTCTCTTACTAAAAACACAAAATTAGCCAGGCATGGTGGTGCATTCCTGTAACCCCAGCTACATGGGTGGCAGAGGCAGGAGAATTGCTTGAACCTGGGAGGTGGAGGTTGCAGTGAGTTGAGATCCCACCACTGCACTCTAGCCTGGGTGACAGAGTCAGTGAGACTCCGTCTCAAAAAAAAGAAAGAAAGAAAAAAAAAGAAATAATAGGTTCAATTCCTGTTTTAAAGGAGCTTACAGTCTAGACGGGTGATGCAAAATTATACACGAATCCCATAAATAGTGTCCTGTTGAGTCTGTTGAGTGTTCTGAAGAGAGATGAAATTTCTGGAGAAAAACGAGAATAGAGACATAGTGAAGTTGTTAAGACCCCCAGGCCTTAGCATCTAGGATGCCTACTGGCTTTGTGGCCCTGGAATATTACCGAAATTCTCTGACTCAGTTTCCTCATGTGGAGAAAAAAGGGGGGCTTAATAGATGGAATCACATGCCTCCCAAAAGATGTTGAAGTTCTAACCATCAGTACCCGTGAATGTGAAACAGGGTCTTTGCAGATGATCAAGTTAAGATGAAGTTCTTAAGGTTAGTTCTAATCCAATATCTATCCAATATCTAAGTTGAGTTGTCCTTATAAGAAGGGAAATTTGGAAACAGAGACAGACATGTACAGAGAGAAGACGAAGTGAAGACACAGGGAGAAGATGGTCATCTCCAAGCCAAGGAATGCCTAGGGCTTGGGGAGTGGCCTGGAACAGACTTTCCCTCACAGCCTTCAGGAGGAACCAGCCAGACTGACACCTTGACTTTGGACATCTTGCCTCTAGAACAGCAAGAGAATTCATGACTGTTGTTTAAGCTACCTAGTTTTTATGAGTCTTTGTTACGGCAGCCTTAGCCATCAAATACAGGGGGCAATAACCGTACTTATTTCCCGGAGATGTGAGGATCTGGGAGATGATGTAAGAGCCTAGCACCATCATTGGCCAGTGTATATCCTTGACAATGGGGGCAGGATGACTACTTTTGATCTTAGGGAATCGGGAAGGCCTCACAGAGGTGGTAGCATTTGGATTGAGGCATGAAGGCGGGTAGGGTGTCAGGATTGGGCAGATGCAGAGGAAGGCTTCATTACACTGTCATTTGCAATGCCATTTTGGTCCCATAGAGGACACAGGCCCAGAGGCAAGTAGCCACTGGGTGATGCAGGGGATCTCAGTAATTCTTACCTGGCCAGTATTCCTTTTCTCTTCTTCTGGCAACACTCATTTTTCCTTTATCAAAGTCGCTTCTCCCTGCTCCAATCACTTCTTGGCCCTTCTCCAGGATGGCCAATGAGAGTTCTCCAATTTCCTGGGTCTCATGATGAGCCCAGAAGGGAGCATATGCTCCAACAGGGTCAATCAGAGTTCTCACTAGGGACAGATAGAGGTCCTGAGAAAGGGAGGGTTTCTCTTCCTCTGGGAGAAGAAATAGTGAGGACAATAAACTTGGTGAATCTCGGGGACATTTTCCCTGACTACCTGGAGGAAGCCATCATCAGATGAGGGAAGGAGGCTAATGTGCAAAGAGCAGTAAATCTGAGAGAAGGAGAGTGATGGAGATGTGGAGATGGATGGATGGAGAGAGAGACAGAGACTGAGAGAGAGAGAGAGAGAGAGAGAGAGAAAGACAGAGAGATAGTTTTCTGGTCTCTACTTATAAAGGCACTAATCCCATCGTGAGGGCCCCACCCTCATGACCTTATCTATATCTAGTTACCTCAAGTCCCATGTCCAAATACCATCACGCTGGAAGTCAGGGCTTCAATATATGAATTTTGGGGAACACAATTCAGTCCATAGCAGGGATGTATTAAGCTTACAGAATTCACTGTGGCAGTGCCTTTACAAACTGGTTTTGACTACACGTTCATATAAAACCTAGTTATTGATTGAAGCCTAGTGATGAATTCTGCCCTTTTATTGAACGCTCAAAATGTATGCCCAGAACAGTGCCTGGCACGTAGTAGACATCCAATAAGTAGTTGGTGAATACATGATTGGATTATTTGTAGTGGACTCTACTTTCTGTCTCCTTCAACATTCTGGATTTGCTGGACTTCTCCTTTTAGTTCCACACTCTTTCTCTCAAGTCCTGTGTGCATGACAGTCCCGCTTCCAGGAACCCTCTGCATCCACCTAAAAAATATTAATTGAGTGCTTTTTATGTGCCAGGCACTTGCATAGGTACTGGGGATACCACAGGGAGAGACACAAATTTCCACCCTCATGGAGCTTATATCCTGGTAGGGGTAGAAAGACAATAAAGAAAAATAAATGCATGAACTATATGTATGTTAGATGAAGGAAAGAGATATAGAGAAAGCTAAAGCCAGAAAGGGGGATGGGGTGTGTGGGTAGGTGGGGGCCAGTGGTGGGAATTTTAATAAGAAGGGGACAGCTGGCTGGGCGCAGTGGCTCACGCCTGTAATCCCAGCACTTTCGGAGGCCGAGGCAGGCAGATCACGAGGTCAGGAGATCGAGACCATCCTGGCTAACATGTTGAAACCCCGTCTCTATTAAAAATACAAAAAAATTAGCCGGGCATAGTGGTGGGTGCCTGTAGTCCCAGCTACTTGGGAGGCTGAGGCAGGAGAATAGCGTGAACCCGGGAGGTGGAGCTTGCAGTGAGCCAAGATCGCACCACTGCACTCCAACCTGGGAGACAGTGAGACTCTGTCTCAAAAAAAAAAAAAAGGTGACAGCTGACCAGTAACTCCCACTCATCTTTCAGGTCCTCCCTGAACCCCAAGACAAGGTGAATGCTCCCTGTTTTAGATTCCATGGTATATTTATTTCCTTTGTCATTACAATCATTATAGCTGCAATTACCCTACAAAAACTGTCTTTCCTGCTGGACTGGAGCTTCACAAGACCAGGGACCATGTCATCCTGTTTATCATTCTATCCTAGCACCTGGGACTGTGCCTTGTCCAGGTAAGTGACACTCTACAAATATTTACTGAGTGAACAGATAAGTGAAAAATGGAGATTACTTTAAAAAATATCCTGTTTTCCTACTTGCTATTGTATACAGAGGGAGAATTTACAATATAAATAACATTCACTATGTTTCTTTGGTTGTACATATTAGGAAATTTGGAAAGCAGAGTGTCAAATAAACAGTGAGCCCAACATTGTTGTAGTGCAGGGCTTCACAAAGTGGAATGTGCACACTAGTCACTGGCAGATTGTGTTTTTCCTTTCTTTTCTTTTTCTTTTTTTTTTTTTTTTTTTGAGATGGAGTCTCTTGTCGCCAGGCTGGAGTGCAGTGGCGTGATCTCGGCTTACTGCAATCTCTGCCTCCCGGGTTCAAGCAATTCTCCTGCCTCAGCCTCCTGAGTAGCTGGGACTATAGAGACACACCACCACGCCAGCTAATTTTTGTGTTTTTAGTAGAGATGGGGTTTCACCATGTTGGCCAGAATGGTCTCCATCTCTTGAGCTCATGATCTGCCCACCTCGGTCTCCCAAAGTACTGGGACAGATTGTATTTTTCAAAGATGGCTGCAACAATATGTCTTTCCCCATGTACTCTTCCTTGACATGCCAACAATTGAAAGCTGGAGTCTACCTCCCCCACCTCCCCCAAGTCTGAGTGGGACCATGACTACAGTGGAAGTGACATTATATAGCTTTTTTGAGATGTTTGCTTTGGAACTCAGCCACCAGGCTGTGAAGAGACTTGATCTTGGGATCTTTCTTGGAGCTATTTAAAAGAATTTCTCTTTCTCCTGGATTTGAAGCAGGGAAGGTGAAAGCCTGGAGCTGCTGGGAATGTATCATGTGGTAGGAGGATGCTCAAGAGTGACACCCACACAGGAAAGCAGAGCTGACACACAGAGAGACCAAATCTTGTTGATTGTTTGAGATCCTTGACCCAGCCATGCCTGAAGTCCCCTTAGAATTCTCACTTGGATGAGTCAATCATTCCTCTTTCTTTCTTTCTTTCTTTCTTTCTTTCTTTCTTTCTTTCTTTCTTTCTTTCTTTCTTTCTTTCTTTCTTTTCTTTCTTTCTTTCTTTCTTTCTTTCTTTCTTTCTTTCTTTCTTTCTTTTCTTTCTCTTTCTTTCTTTCTTTCTTTCTTTCTTTCTTACTTTCTTTCTTCTTTCTTTTTCTTCTTATTTTCTTAAAGCTAGTTTGAGTTGGGTCTCTTACCTGTATTAGAAGAGTCATGACCAATAGAATGGACAATATTCTTGGCAGCACAGAGTTTATGAACCTAGCCTTTGAAACTGTTCTTTGCTATGAAGAAACAAGGATCTTGTTAATCCTCCTTCCCTGAGAATAACCTTGAGGAGCCTTGTCTGCCAATTACTATTAATGAGCACATCCAAAATGCCAGTCCTTTGATGGTCCAGGGGCCCTCATCAACTATTTCCACCGTCTTCCCTCTGTGACCTCTGCAGTTTCTCTGGCTGCCCTGGCTGGAGGATAAACACCTTACACCTGCTCCCAGCATCCCCTGCTGGGGACAGGACTGGCTCAACCCAGAGGAACACCTTGGAGATCTCCAGTGACTCATCTTGAACAGAGCCCCAGGTTTGCCTGGGGACTCAGGGAGTTGTTGGGTGAGAAATTCTAGAATACACATGAATAAATAAACTGGAGCTCAGTGCCAGTTTGAAGCAATTAAAGGATCCCATGAAAGCTGAACCTCTGGGGAGATGTATATGCTTCTAATGTATAATCTCCTAAATTCAAAAGGGCAGAGGTGTAGCCTTTTCTGATCTGAGCACCTGTGCATACCCACTCTTGACCCTAGAGTTCTAAACTTCTCATTATGGTGGCCTGTCCCAGGCTCTTTCCTGTCACCCTGTAAATGCCTTCATAAAAGTTCCTCCAGAGGTTGGGTGCTGGGCTTGTGACGATTACTCTTAGTAGGTTGAGGCCTGGCTCCTGGGTCTTAACAGCAGGAATGAGAAGGCAGGAAAGTGAAATTCTTCCTTCGAGATGGTTCTTCCCGCTTCTTTGTTTTACAATGGCAAAAATCACAATACTTTTGCACCAACCTGACAGCAGGAAGTAGTGATGTTGGAAGCTGGGGGTTTCAACGTGCTGTTCCCTCTGTCTGGAATGTTCTTCCCCACATGGCTCCCCTCACTCCCCAAATCCCATTATCTTCCAGGGCTGTCAGATGCTACCGTCTCAGGGAATCCATCCCTGACCCTATTCCCTCTCAGGCCTGTTTAGTTTTTATAGCTGTGGGGTTTCTGGAGCTCTTTATCTATCCTTTGGTTCTTAATGAGTTTTGGGTACACTGCCTACCACTGTGCTCCTCAAGTATTCGGTAGTGATGCTTCAGGTTTCAGAATTAACTTCTTCGACTCCCATTTCTCTGGGTAGCCTGTAAAAACGGTGGAATGAGGCATGTTGAAATCCTATGGGCTTTGACTAATTGGAAGGCAGTAACTCCCTTTTCTCCCTTCCCAGGGGGCAGAGTGGCTAAATTCTAGAGACGAGCGATTGGGATTGAAAACCTGTTCCATCACTTTCTAGCCATAGGATCTTGGGCATGTAGATTAACTCCTCATTACCTCCTCACTTTTCTTATCTGTACAGCAGGGATAACGATGAACCCTACTGCTTAACATTGCTGTGAAGATTAAACAAAATGATGGAGAATTAGTCTAGCGCTTGACATGTAAGAAAAACTTAGTAACAGCTGTGGTTGCTATTATAAATCAATACAAATCTACTGAACATTTAGTAGGAGATAGGGCAGAGTTTTAGGAATTGACTTCTAGGTGGCTTGAGGCAGCATCCAGACCTCACCTTGACCCAGTGTACATTGTTTCATCATTTCATTCATTCACTCAACACATATTCATTGCCTGGCTACTATATAGAAGCTACTGCAGCTTTCACAGTCCTGGTGTGGGAATCATGATTAATGCCGGGAAAATAGTTTGTAGTTTTGGCTGACTGATGGGTTAGCATTCTAGACTATCTATTTCTTCACTAGAATTTACTTTGCTAGCTCCCAGCCCTGTGGTCAGGGACAAGGGATCCTTTGCTTCACTTTAGGGGAATGCTAAAGGTGAAAATAATACTTCTGTTTCTGCTATTTCTTAAACACAGCGACTGTAAAGGAAGCTTAAGAGAGAAGCATATGGGTTCAGACAATACTTTCTGGCTGGTAAGGAAAGAAACCACAAGGATTAGCAGGTACACTGCACTTAACACACACACACACACACACACACACACACACACACACACACACACACACACATATATCAATAACAAGCCAGGAACTTAACTCTTTATGTACTGGGCTGAAATTCAGTATTCATGATCCATAGCCTTTGATTGGTAGTAGTAGAGTGTTCAGTAAACATATACATATATATATTTTGATTTGTAGGTATTTTGTTCAGAATATAGCACGTTTTGCCTGACTCCAGTTGGAGAAGCATTGGTTATATGCAACACTTTGTCTGACTGTAAAGTAGGATTCTGTAAATAGAACTTTTCCCCTTTAAATTCTTTTTGCCCATTTGATTCTTAGAACTTTTTGCCCCGTAGATTCTGCCCAATTTTTGAATGGCGAGCATCCTAAAAAACTCTGGCAGGTGGTGGTTCAATATGCACAACACTTTGTTGAATAGTGGTTTAATGTTGATTGATTCTAATTTTTTCTCTAGTAAACCTGAGTGCTATTAGCATTTTGGGGAGGACAACTTTTCTTTTTGTGAGACTGTCTTTTGCATTTCCAGTGAAAGCCAGTAGCACCCTCTAGTTATTACAACAGCTGAAAATGTCTCCCCCTTTTCTAGAAGCCCTGGAGAGGGACTGTACCAGCCCCAGTTGAGAATCACTAGCTAATACTGTATGTCTATAGTAGGTTTCCTTGTTTGGCAATGGGGGTCCAGCCTAGAACTTTCCCCACTAGTGGGGAAACTCCACAAACCCTGCACAGACCCATGTCAGATTTTATTCCCTGTTGCTTTTGGTGCTTGAGGACCGGGCTTGACCCTTGTGGATTCTCAATAGATATTTGTACCTGGTTGGTGGAAAGCGTATACATATAGTAATTATAGCATTAATGTCACATAACTTACTCAAACTGAACTGCAGAGTTTTTGTAAGCAGAGGTGATATTCAAAATATTTGACAAATAGTACTCGCGCAAGCATGGACCAATCAGAACTTATCCTGGAGATTCTGGAAGCCCCCCCGATGGAACAGGCAACTTTTACCAGCTGGCTTGTGGGAAAGTCCAGGGGGTTCCAGGGATAGAAGTCAGGGAAGCAGGGCACAGTGAGAGATGGCATGTATTTGTTAAAATTTTAGCAGCCAGCAAGGCAATCCTAGAACATGCTTCTGAATATTAGAAGACCATTTTGCAGAGTGCATTACACAGAATGTTTTCAGGACACCCTGATGAAATTTCCTTACAAAAGGTTTTCTGGTTTCTAGGCTTTCACCACTTATTTTTCTAGAATTCTTTTCCCCTTGCTCAGTCAGTGGGAGTCCAGATTATTCAAGAAAAGCATGAGAAAGAATTAGGATTCATCCGGTACTTCATGGGAGTAACACACAAATGTCTGTTCCTCATGAGCTCAACCGAGGTTTGCTACACTCACAAAGCCTTCTACCCTCTCTGCTTCTGCCCCTGAAGCTGTGACCTTTGGAAGAGTAGTTCTCCCTGTGAGCGTCCTAAACTTCAGTCTCCAGAACTTGGCTAAGCAATTGCTCCTGAGGGAAGGAAGGGCTAGTGACAAACATTCGGATTGCAAGAGATCGGGAGCTCTAGAGTTTAGTTCTGCTTCTTCTCTTACCAGTTGAGTAATTTTAGGCAGACAGAGAAAAAGTACATATTAGTGTTGGAAGTCTGTGGGCAAATCTCACAGCCTCTCTCAGTTTCAACAACGATAGAATAAGGGATCTGCGCTGACTGCTCTTTAGAGCTCATCCAGCCAGGAGTTCTCGAGTCCCATCTCCTTTGACTGTCTCTGGGTCATGGAGGTGGAAGACTCATTCCTGTTTCAGTCTCATGCTCACCGTTCTGGCTGCTGGTCAGCTCCTCCCTCACTTACATGGCTGGCACCTTCGGGCTCTACATATGGGAATCTAGGGCTTGGTCCACTCTCCTTTGGTGTTTGCCAAAGGGTCTACTGGGCGGTGGGGCCTCCAGCCCTAGGCCTTAGCTTAGGGGGTCTCCCATGGGAAACTATGGCAATGTCTCTTCTTTCCTCCTTTACATTCACTCCTGCACTTCTCTCCCTATTTTACTGACTCTCACTCATGCTGTTTCTCTTTCTCTCTCCTCCTCTCACCTCATTTCCTTCTTCACACCCTTAGACCTGGGCCCTACCAGCTCACCTACTTCAACTCCACGGAAACCAAAATGCTAAGGTCCCTGTCTCTGTTGTTAGATTGCTGTTTCTTTCTCTGGGCCCTCAGGAAAGTTACTTAACCTCTCCTTGCCTCAGTTTCCTCATTTATAGACATAATATGAATTCCCAGTTTGTTGGGTTAATTAAATGAGATGATCCATGTAAAGCTCTTACAGCAGCATGTCCAGCAGATGGGAATTGCTCACTGCTAGTGATTTCTTTTCTCCCCTGCAGCAAGTTGATTTGGCTCATGAAATACATATGGGTGGGATAAAGTTAATTATCAATTTGCTCTGGGAAATTTGCATTATTTTTCCTTCAAGCATTTAAAAAATAGATGAGCGATTTGCTAACTTAGTTTTCTTCTTAGATTCAGCTGCCATTCCCATCTTTTCCCACAAGCACACACATACTTCAGTTTCCCTGAACTATTTGGGGTTCCCAGACTCATTGAGCTATGTTATGCCTCTTTGCTTTTGCATTTTCCTGGTGTGTCCTTTTGGCAGTCTGTCTTTGTCTTGGTGGTGATGGGACAGAGAGACTTCTTGTCAATGGATGTTTCAGGAATTGGCTCACATGTCACCTCCTCTGAGAAGCCTTTCCTGACCACACACCACCTCCTTCAGGAAGCCTTCCCTGACTGCTGCTTCTCTCCACAGCAGAGTTAAATGCTTTTTTTGTGCTTTGTACATATATTGTCACAGGGCTTATACCATGGTGGCATCATTATATCTACTTACTTGTCTCTTATTCTAAATGCAATCCTTGAAGGCAGGGACTATGTTTTATCTATCTTCTTGTTCTCAGCAGCCAGTCCAGGTTTTTCTTTTTTGGCATAGCAAGTGCTTAGTAAATGTTAAATGAATGAAGAAGATGGGAAGAGACCTTCTAATACCGCAGTAGAGAAGTCACAAGTCATTGTTCTAAAGGACATTCAGTTTACTAAGATAGAAGCTTTTCTGTCCTATTCTTACCTTAGGCACAATTTTAACAAGTTTTTTTTTGTTTTAACCATAGCTGATTAGAAAGAACAGGTTAGAAGAGGTGGGGAAGAAGCTGTTAGAGGTAAGCATACTGAAAGCAGAAATGACACCTGACCCTCTGATAGCGATAAGAACAGTGAAATTACAAAACGCACAATTGAACGCTCAAGTATGGGCTTGTTTCACGTATGGGAAGCAAATTTAGGTGGCATAGGACATTCCTGCACAGCCCAACAATTAATATTCAATGGAATGTCCCGAGTTACAAGAAGGTTAAATTATACTTTGCATACTCTGCTTAAGAAAAAGCAAAAGCGTTGAAACCTATTGGGTTTTTCATGGAAGAAGCTACAGCCATCTGGAAATGACACAGGGCTCTTTAATCATTAAGATGCTTGGACATTTTCACACAGAAACTGTGTTGCTGGGTGGGGGAGATTCTGCAGTCTCATCACTACATTTGGGTATGAAGGCCATCTTGCCAGTAAACAGCAGAATGGCAAATAGAAGATATCTTAGGACTTTGCTTCTCACGCTCTCCTCTTTGGAGCCCTGGGGTTTCCTTAGCATTCTCTTGTAGTTGGTGCTGGGGGTTGGCGGGTGGCGGGGAATTGTGTTCTCTCTGTCTACCATGATTAGCCCCCTATTTTCTGTGCAACTGGTGGGGTATCAGAGGAAGATTTTGTTTGAAGGAAATAGTTCTCTTCTGAAAAACATGGTAACAGTTTTGTTATGACAGATAATATGTGTATTGGATAGATGTTCTTAGCAGGCAGTGGTTAAGAGCATCATCGAAGGGAGTTCCAGTCCCAGCTCCTGGGCTTCACATCTCTGTACTTCAGTTTCCTCATTTGTAAAATGGGGATAATAATAGTACCTGTACTGGGTTGTTGTGAGAATTAAATTAGTTAAATAAAATATGTCAGGTGCTTAGAAAAGTGCCTAAGATATAATAAATGCTATGTTAAGTGTTTGCTGTTTATTATTTAAGAAGCTCCTTGATCAAGCATGCCCTGGAGAGGGAAGACAAAGCTCTGAAAACTGGTGCTATCTGAGCTTTGAAAAATGGGCAGGTACACAGCCACAAAAAAGAACAAGATCCTGGCCTTTGCAGCAACATGGATGGAGCTGGAGACCATTATCCTAAACAAACTAGCACAGGAACAGAAAACCAAATACTGCATGTTCTCACTTATAAGTGGGAATTAAACATTGAGTACACATAGACACAAAGAAGAGAACAAAAGACACGGAGGCCTACTTGAGGATGGGGGGTGGGAGAGGGTCAAAAAACTATCTATTGGTTACCGTGCTTATTACCTGGGTGATGAAATAATCTGTACATCAAACCCCTGCAACACATAATTTATCCATGTAACAAACCTGCACATGTACTCCTGAAACTAAAATGAAAATCTAAAAAAAATCGTGGGAGGTAAAATATGAATTTTTTATGTTATTATTTGTTTTGTACTTCATTTTGTAATTCCTCAAAATTAAAAGATCATCAAATCGAGAGAACAAAAACCATAAATAAAAATAAATCTTATTTTGCCCAAAAATTTTAAAAAAGGAAAATAGGTAAGTTATTTGCCACATGGAGAGGGGCAGTGCATTTTAGTTGGAAGATGAAGGCAAGGAGGGTGAAAGATTGTATGTCCAGGCACTGTCAGGAGCTAGTACACAGGAGATGTGTAGTAAATGGCAAATGGGACCCAGGTCAGCCACTGTGGTCAGAATGTAAGGGTGGGAGGGAGGTGATGAAGAACAAACAGCGCAGTGCCTGTGCCGTGCTGGGGACGATCTATCTCTCTTGTTTGCCTTGCTAAGGAACCAGAACTTCCTTCCCAGTGATATCTTTATTATTTATTTGTTTATTTTTGAGACGGAGTCTCACTCTGTTGCCCAGGCTGGAGTGCAATGGTGCAATCTCGGCTCACTGCAACATCTGCCTCCCAGGTTCAAGTGATTCTCCTGCCTCAGCCTCCCGAGTAGCAGGGATTACAGGTGCGTGCCACCGCACCCAGCTAATTTTTGTATTTTTAGTAGAGATGGAGTTTCACCACATTAGGCAGCTGGTCTTAAACTCCTGACCTTGAGTGGTCCAGCCGTCTTGGCTGCACAAAGTCCAGGGATGACAGGTGTGAGCCCGGCCCCAGTGACATCTTTAAATCTGCATTCTTGAGAGGTGCTCTGGCAGTGCTGTGGAGAATAAATAAATCAGAAAGGGAAGAGTTGGATGAAGTCAGTGGCTGTTTTAAAGATAAAACTCATAGGGTGGGGTATAAGACAAAGAGAGGGAGAGGTCGAAGATGATTCTGGAGGTTCCTGGTTTGGGCAGTTGGGTAGATGAGATGCTGCTCATCAAGATAGGGAAGGCAGGAGGAGGAGCAGGTTTGGGTGGGGCAAAGGAATGAGTTCATTTCTGGGACAGGTTGGATTTGAGGTGCCTAAAGGGAAATTGAGGGGGACATACTCAGTAGACAGTTGGATGGCTGAGTCTGGACCTCAGAAGAAAGGGAGCTAGAGATACTGATTTGGAAGTCAGGAGCTTATAGATGAGAGTTGAAACTTCAGGAATGCTTGAGTTCACTCAGGGAACGAGTACAAAGTGACAGAAGAAGAGGGAGAAGAATGGAACGTGGGGGAACACAGACCACAGAGGCGCAGGCCCAGGAAGGGGTCAGTGGGAGAGATGAGGGAGGGACAATGTGACAAAGCTCTTGGCTTGGGTAAGGGGGATGCAGAGCAGCTGTCAAGAGGGACCCTCCCAGGCCTTGCCCACTCTGATAATTGATCTGAAAAACAATATTGCTCTCAAAGAGTAAGAAGGGATTTATGGTCTTGGGAACAGTGTGTTTTGGAGTTGGAAAGAATCTCAGAGATTTTATGGTTCACTGGTTTAAAAAAAGGTTTAAAGGAGACAGCTCTTTATCATAAAAAAACTGAAACTTTGTGCTAAATCTCAATAGATGATTGATAAACATAGAGCTGCCACAAATCCCAACAGATGATTGAAAGCCGGCATGGTGGCTCACACCTGTAATCCCAACACTTTTGGAGGCTAAGGTGGTAGATTACCTGAGGTCAGGAGTTCAAGACTAGCCTGGCCAACATGGTGAAACTCTGTCTCCACTAAAAATACAAAAAATTAGCCAGGTGTGGTGGCAGGTGCCTGTAATACCAGCTACTTGGGAGGCTGAGGCAAGAGAACCACTTGAACCCGGGAGGTGGAGGTTGCAGTGAGTTGAGATCCCGCCATTGCACTCCAGCCTGGGTGATGGAGTGAGACTCTGTCTCAAAAAAAACAAAAATCAAAACAAAAACAAAAAAACAAACCAAAAAAAAAACCCCCACAGAGCGGCCATCATTGAGGCTGGAACTGGACAGCTTCTCCCAAATGTCTTGGAGCAACCTGTGGACCCCATCATTCCACATATATTTATATGCCAAGCTCTGCACTTAGCTGTGGTTGTAGCTGTGGATAAAAAGGCAGTTCTTGCCCCTGGGCTCAATGGTTTTCAACCTTGGCTGCACCTTAAAATCACCTTAGGAGCTTAAAAAAGTTCCCAATGCCCAGGCTGTGCCCCATACCATGAAATCAGTCACTGGGCAGACACCTCAAGCATCAGTAGTTTAAAAACTCTCCAGGTGACTTCAATGTGCAGTCACATTTGAGAACCAGCTGAGTGCAGTGTAGACAATCCGGTGAGTTAACGTATTTCTACTGAACCTAAATGGTAGAACCTTGAACCTGTTCACTCTCCTCATTTTATTCATGAGGGTCCAGGAGTTAAGTCAGCCAAGGTGGACAGAGAAGGTATTGGGCCTGGAACCTCTGTCCCCTGACTTCTTAGCCCACGTTCCTGTCTTCCTGCACACTAGTGTGGCCTCAGCTTGCTGGGTGCTGTACGGCCCTTAACCTGGTTGGTCGCTGGGCTTGGATGTTAAGTAAAAACCTGGTGAATGATCTGCATTGTTCTCTCTTTTCACCAAGGCTGTCTTCTTTCTCTGTGAAAAGCTAGTTGAATTCTTTCTCTAAATGGGGTATTCTTCATTCAGAGGCAGCACAATGGGCCTCTTTCACTGACAATTCAGTTTCTAGTAACAGAGACTGTGGGGCCTGCCAGCAATCTCCTTGTGAAACTGGCATGCTCTCGGTTCTGAAAATGAACCATGGGCACCAACACCTGGAGAAATAAGGAGCCCCTGTTTAAGCTGAGAAGGGTGCTGGAGGCACCTGTGTGATGTTGGGTCAGTGGAGGAACTTCTCTGAGCATTAGTTTCAGACTGAAACATTAGGACATAGGATTGCTGTGAGGATTAAATGACTTGATGTGTACAAAGGGTGGGGCACCCATTATGCACCAAGTGCTAAGCTAAGACTCTTGTATACACAATATGCAATTTAGTCCACAGAATTAAATCAGCAAATTCGATGTTATAGATTGTTATCCCCAGTTTATAAACGAGGATACTGAAGCCCAGAGAAGCCAAGTAACATGTTCAATGCTGCACAGTCATTGAAGGAGCTGGTCTTGGGCTTCCCCACAGTGAGAGGTCAGTATTATGTTAGCTATTGCATTTTGTGAGACATTGTTTAGAATTCAGATGGAAGGAAAGAAAAGATGGCATGGGAGGCAAGATTTTTTTTATTACTTTGGAGATTGTGCTCAGAACCATGATATTTAAGCTAGAAGCTGAGGAGTTTCATACTGGGAACAGGGGGAAAAAAACTAATTTTTTTCTGGGTGCAATTTAAGCATCATCCCATGCCTGTTTTGTGTACATTATTTAATCCACAGGAATAAACCTGCAAGGAAGGTGTTGCAGATTTTTATCCCTATGTTGGAAATGAGGATTCGGAAGCTCAGAGAACGTAAGCAACATGCCCAGTGTCACGGAGCAAGGTCAAAACCAGACTTTGGACCAAGATCTATCTGGCCTTGGAAGCATCTCCCCTTTGGCCTGGTCTTTGCTCTGTATGTCTTGTTGACCCCAAAGAATAAAGTCACCTACATGTTTCAGTTGACTTTTTAATTTCCTTATGAATGTCATCCCCACTCCCAAGTTCCCACGATAATCAGAAAGGGCGGTTTCCTAGGCTATTTCCTTGGTAGTCAGATTGGGAGGAGAATGGCACTAATACTAATACTAATAACCATAATTATGAGTAACATTGATTGAACACTATGTTCCAAGTGCTCAATATGTTCTGGACGCTGTTGCAAGAACTTGACAGATATTATCTCACTTAATTCTTACAATGCTCCTATATAGTTAGAATAGTTACTCTCCCCCTTTTTGGAGATGGGAAATTGTGGCACAGATCAGTTGACCAACATGTTTAATATTACACAGCTAGTCACAAAGAAGCTGGGATTTATTTTTTATTTTTTATTTTTTGAGACAGGGTCTCTCTCTGTCTCCCAGGAGTGCAGTGGTGCGATCTCGGCTCCCTGCAACCTTCACCTTCCCAGTTCGAGTGATCCTCCCACCTAAGCCTTCTGAGTAGCTGAGGCTACAGACATGTACCACCAAAGTTGGATAATTTTTTGGATTCTTTTGTAGAGACGGAGGTCTTGATACGTTGCCCAGGCTGGTCTTGAACTCTTGGAATCAAGCGATCCTTCTGCCTCGGCCTCCCAAAGTGCTGGGAATATATGCAGAAGCCACTGTGTCTGGCTGAGCCAGGATTTTAGCCATGTAGTGAAACCCAGAAATCACTTGGTGGAACTTGCCGGAAGCAGATATTGTGGTCCTCATGCCTCTTGACCTGGTTTTCTATTGGCAGCTGCCAGGTGTTTGATGAGGGAGTGCTCACTGGGGAATGACTCTCCTTCCACTTGATTTTGAGGGAACAGTGGTTCCTGGTGTGTGAGTTTCACAGTGAGCCTGAGAGCAAGGTCTCTGACCGTTTCCTGCCTGTAGATGTCCATGGACTTGGTCTCCATTTAACTCTGCTCCAACCTGCTCCCTCAGCTGGGCTCTCAGTCCTACCACATAACCCTGCCCTCTGAGAACCCAAGACAGAATTTAAGGAGGGGGGCTCCCATCCCGGAGGTGGGTCTCTTGTGCTTTCTTGCCTTGTTCTCATGCCGCACACTCTGCTTCAGGCCATCTTTGTTTCCCCAACCTTGGATCCGGGAGTCAGATCCGCATCCTGTCTTGGATGGCTGGAGATCCCTTGTGTGTCTCTGACCTTGGCCACCGTATTTTTACATTTGAACAAACTTAATGTGGAGAGATTAACTTGCTCCAAGGCACATAGTAAGAAGTAGCCAAGCTAGGATTTGAGCTCAGGTCTGTCTGACACCAAAGCTCCTAGCCACTATCCCCTGTGGCTTCCCATCTCTTTTTTTGTCCTTCTGTCTCTTCATTCTGAAGTCCGAAGTGTCACATGGGTGGGGGAGCACTTGGGTCATTTGCGTGAGGAGGGCGGCTCCTCTCCTTGCCATTTTCTCCCTGCCCAAACTGTGTGCCCTGTGAGCTCTCAAATCTGGACCCAGGGGGATCCTGCACAGTTTGTCTGGGGCAGAGTGTAAATAAGTCACTTGTCTTCCTCTCTGAGAGTGACAGGAATGGCTCTGTCATGTGTGAATGTGTGTGTACATTTGCGTGATCCACCCTCCCTTACTTGCCCCTCCTGACGGATAGCTGATCCTGTGTCTGAGTTTGATTCATTTTGGGTCAAAAACAACCCCGATCTGAAGATAAGAAGTCATCCCAGCAGGATTGGAGGGTGAGATAATGTGGCGCTTGCAATGAGTTCATTTTAACTGGTGACTTTTTCCACCTGAGTTCTCATGTGTGAAGAGTGAGTCCTGGTGTGGGGAGGCATGCCGGGGAAAGCTAAAAATACAGGCAGGCTCTCTAGGGAGAGCTGAGGTCTTCCCACTGCAAATGCATAGGAGCCCAGTCCCTGGACCAGTTGCAGAGGGTGGGGCAGGGCTGCTGGTGCAGACCTCTGGGTAACATGCATTCTGTAGTGAGCATTTACCAGGCTCATGGCAGCTAGCTTTTTTGAATACCTTTCTTTGGTTTGTTTCTGCTTTCTGAGTCTTGGTTTCCCAACAGAGGAGCCAGACTCATGTCTTCTCAGCCCCCTTTACAGCTGGGTCACGGAATAGGACTTGGCTCCTTCAATGAGATACCCCCAAAGCGGAATTTGATTTTGAAAGGGGGTACTATGAAAAAGCCCACTTTTTATATTACCCCTACAAGGGATAATTTGCAGGGATCCCTGCAAGGGATCCATTTTCAGGGGCAGCAGTGGTTAAGGTCCCGGCAGGGTCAGCGTGGAGTCTGTGCCTAGTGGTGCTGGCAGTGTCACCTCTGCAGGAGCAGCTGGGGATTGGGTGTTATTCTTGGTGGCAAAGTTTTCAATCTGATCCAGATACTCAATATGCTTTAAATATTTTGAGGCATGTTAAATGGCCTAGGCTATGGTCTATCTTGGTATATATTCCACAGATGCTTGAAAAGAATGTGCATTATGCTGTACCTGAGTGGAGAGTTCTATAAATGTTGATTAGACCCTTTTGGTTGATGGTGTTGTTAAGTTCTATATTCTCATTGATAATGTGTCTAGTTGTTCTCTATCAGTTGTTGAGAGACGGGTATTGAAGTCTCCAACTGTAACTGTGAACTTGTCTATTTCTCCTTTTAAGTTTTTACTCCATATATTTTGCAGCTCCATTGTTTGGTGCATACCTATTCAGGATTGCTATGTCTTCCTTCTGTATTGACCCTTTATCTTCATTATGTAATGTTCTTTCTACCTCTGGTAATCTTCTTTGCTTTGAAATTTACGTTATCAGATATTAATATAGCCACCTCGCTTGCTTTTGATTAAAGTTTGCGTGACTTTTTCTTCCCATCCTTTTTTACATTCAATCTACCAATATCATTATTTGAAGTGAGACAACATATAGTGAAATCATATTTTATGATCCAGTCTAACAACCTCTGTCTTCTTTGTGTGTTTAATCTCTGTATCTAGACCAACATTTAATGCAATTGCATTTAATGCAATTGTTGGTGTGTTAGGCCTTAAATATGCATTTTATTTTTTGTTTTTTTGTTTGTTCTCTGTTTTTGTTTCTCTGTTTTATTTTATCTGCCTTCCTGTGGTTTATTTGAACATTTTTAAAATTAAATTTTGATTTATTTGTTATGTTTTTGACTGTACCTCTTTGACAGCTTTTTTAGTGGTTGCTCTAAATTATATATATATGTGTTTATATACATGTACACACACATATAAAACTTTTATATGTATATTAAAAACTATATATATACTTTTATATATACATAAAACTTGTTACAGTCACCTGGCATGGACATATACCTGTTCAAGTGAAGTATAAAAACATATCTCCCTTTATATCCTTTTACTCCCTTCATTTATATTTTAAATATTTCCTTCAAATACACTTAAAAACATATTAGGCAATGTTATAATTTTTGCTTCAGTTATCAAATATAATTTAGAAAACTCAAGAGAAAAAATGATTATAGATTTCACTTATATTTTTGCTGTTATGTTCTTTTTTCTTCCTAATAAAGGAAAAAGATTTCTTTTTTTGGTCTAAGATTTCGTTTTTTGGTCTTCTTTTTTTTTTTTTTTTCTTTTTCTGTTCAGAGAAGTTTCTCCACCCATTCTTTTAGGGTAGGCCTGGTGGTGACAAGTTTTCTTCGTTTCCTTCATCTGAGAATGTCTTAATTTCTCATTCATTCCTGAAGGATATTTCTGCTGGATATTGGATTCTGAGTTGACAGTTCTTTTCTTTCAGCATTTGAGTAATTTTTTCGTGCCACTCCCTTTTTTCTTCCTTAGTTTCTGATGAGAAATACAGTGTCCTTCAAATTGTTTTTCTTTTATAGGTATGGTGTTTCTCTCTAGCTGCTTTTAAGATTTTTGTCTTTGAATTTCAGAAGTTGACTATGATGTGTCTTGGAATGGATTTCTTTGGATTTATCTTGTTTTGGGTTTATGGCTCAGCTTCTTCAATCTGTAGGTTTATGTCTTGCAAATTTGGGAAGTTTTCAGTCATTATCTCTTCAAATAATTCCTCAGGCCTGCCCTCTCTCTCCTTTCATTCTGGAATTCCCATGACATGCATTTAAATCTTTTCTGATAATTCTGTAAGTCCCTGAGGTGCTGTTGATTTTTTTTCATTCCAATTACGTCCCTGTTATTTAGACTGGGTTATTGCTGGATTACTATCAAGTCGGCTGTTTCTCTTCTCTGTGCCCTCCAATCTGTTGGTGAGCCCATTCATTAAGTTTTTAAATTTTTTGGTCATTATATTTTCCAGTTTATCTTCTATTTATTTACTGTGACATTCTATTTCTTTGATGAAACTTTCTATTTCTTCACTTGTTTCAAGTATATTTATAATTTGTACACTGAGGCACTTCAGTGATATTTGCTTGAAAATCTTTGCAGGTAATTCTGTTTCTGTTATTTTGATGTTGACATCTATTGATTATCTCTTTTACATTCAAGTTAAAATTTTCTTGATTCTTGGGGTGGAGAATTATTTTTTATGGGAAGTGGACACTTTGGTTATTATGTTATGCTACCCTGGATCTTATTGAAGCCTTCTGTTTTAGCTGGGCTTTATTTTATTGATACTGCTCTTGTAGAGGAAGTGGAGAGCTGCCTTGCTGGTCTACTGACACCTGAACTGGGGGAGGTTCCTCATTACAAGGGCAGGATTGGGAGTTTTGGTTCCCCACCAGGCCTTCACTGATACCACGCTGTCTGGGAAGGGTAGGAGTGCCTTGTTACTGCTTGTCACATGTCGTCCACTGACACTGCAGTAAAGGGAAGTGGCCTCATTATGTCTGGGTGATGGTAAAGCCCTGACTTCTCCCTTAGCTCCTCTGACACCATCCTGCACAGAAGCAGAAAGGCACCCTGACATTGCTGGCTGGGGGTGGCGGTCCAGGCTCCCCATGGGAGATCCACCTACACTGTGGTAGGTGGGTGCTTGTTACCACTGGGTAGTGATGAAAGTCCCAGCTCTCTACTTGGCCTTCTCTGACACCACGCAGGCAAGGGGTGTTAAGGAGTAATAAGACAGCCTGGCAAGAGTGGAGGTCTAAGTTCCCCACTTGGCCTTTGCTGGCCCCGGTGAGGGTGGGCACAGTATTTTCTGCGATATTTGGCTGGACTAGAGCAGTTATTGCCTAAAAGTTTCCTGTCTTGCTACCTTCCCCCTTTCCTGGTCCTTGGCTAAAGAGAGTTGGCTTTTATTGGGACTTTTAATGTCTGTGCTCATTTGCATTTCTGGGTTACAGAATACATGCTTCACCTAAGCCTGGGATATAAGAGACAGAAAGCAAACCCAGAAATCTCATATCTGTGACTTTCCTGGGGTCCCAACTACCTAGCTTGTCTGCCTTCCTCTATGCACCTTGCAGAATTTCCTTGTGATTCTTTTATATTGTCTATGGTTTTCAGACATACTTAGTGGGGGAAAGAGTGTGAAGTATACCTACTCCATTTCCCCAGAAACAGAAGTCCCAATATCCTTTGAAAGTTTCCTTTTTGCAGAAACTAGCCATACTGTGCTCTGTTGTTTGCAATCAAGAACCCCAGCTGATACCCTTTCCTTTTGTGAAGGTCAGGAGCAGAGAAGAGCTGTCCCCTGAAGCTGAGAACATTGGTCTCATCAATAAGTTCCCAGAAGTGGTAGCCCTCTGCTTTGCCTATGAGTGACTTTCCTCTGTTTTCTCCAGATCACAACAGGTTATCTTCAGAACATGACCAAAAACATTCTCGTGACTATTTTTCCCCTTTTTCTTTTTTTCAGATCTAGACCGGCAGATACTTTCTATTTTTTTAATTTCACAAGTAATACTTGTTGCTTATAGAAAATTTAGAACATATAGATAAGTGAAACAGAGACCACCTACATCAGAATAGCTACTGCTAATCTATGATATATAAATATTTTGTCTACATATGTGTAATATAAATATAATACAGATACTCTTTGAACTTACAATGAAATTACATTCAGATAAGCTCACTGTGAATTGAAAATATTCTAAGTCAGAAATGCATTCAATGTGCCTAACCCACCAAATATCATAGCTTCACCTAGCCTATCTTAAATGTGTTCAGAACACTGACGTTAGCCTACAGTTGGGCAAAATAACCTACCATAAAGCCAATTTTATAATAAAGTATTGAACATATCATGTAATTTATTGAGTACTGTACTGAAAGTGAAAAAAGGTTGCTCATATGGGTACTCGAAGTATGGTTTCTACTGAATGCTTATCATTTTTTGCACCATTGTAAAGTAAAAAAATCATAAGTCGACCATTTTAAGTCAGGAACTGTCTGTATATTATTATATCTATGCAATAAAATATACCATATGCTATACTTTTTGTTTAGCAACTTGCTTTTTCACTTAACCAGATATCTTAACATCTTTTCACTGCAATAAATATAGTTTTAGATAATCATTTTTGATGGTTACATAATATTCAATTGTAAGAACATAGTTATTTACATATCTGTTCTGTAATGTAGAATACAGAGACTATTTCCAATTTTTTCCATTGTACACAATTCTGCATGGGACTTCTTTGTAGATAGTCATTGTGCACTTATCTGATTATTTTAAGATAATCCCCTAGGAATGGAATTGCTGGGCTATAGGGAATGCACATTTTTGAAAAGATATCTTTTGATATGTAACTTCACCTAGCCTCCCTATCCTGCTTTTAGTCCTAATCCCATTTCTTGGCTCTTATTTGACTCCAGAGTGATCTCATTCACAGAGCACCCATGGTGCCTCCTTCAGAGGCCCCTCTACTTCTTTCTGTCCACAAGCGCTAGTTTGCAATAGGATGACATGTGAAAAGTTAATGCACATGCTACCACACCTTCCATCTTCCACTTTATCACATCCTAAGGGCCTTTCTTCATTCATGACATGGTGTAACTTCTGCACAAAGGTGGCAAGTGTTTAATTTTAGGTTCAAGTGCTAAAGGATCCAGATGTAAGAAGCAAGATTTGGGAAGTAGATGTGATCAGTCAGTTCCTTCCCTCACCACTGACCTCCGACCTTCTGGGAATAAAAAAGGTAGAGATGAAGTAAAGGGGCTAGGCATGAGTGTGAGTGGCCCTACTTCGTGTCCCCCTCCAAAGAGGAAGGTGTAACTTGGCAACAGGGGCATGGTGGTCCTATTTGTTTGAACAAAATTTTCAACGATGGCCAATATCATGTAAAGCCAGTAAAAGTAAAAACCAGCTGGTGGGGTAGGGAGGAAGTTTCCCATCAACTCTGAGGTTCATGAGGGTCCTCCAGGGAACCCCTAGGAGTCAGCAGATCTAGGGCTGCCATGAATGGTTGTGTAGTGTGCATACTGCACAAATGTGCTGGCCAAGGGGTCGTGGAATTGAAATCCACCTCATCTTTCATTATCAAGAGTTGGGCTCTGGTAGAGGACTGTGCCCATCTAGGTAAAGGGATGCCCTTTTCTTTGTACAAAGTACAATCTGCTTATAAACCATGTACCCACACAGCAGCATGTACCCAGAGGAGGTTTCTTTTCAAATTCTTCCGCCTAAATGGGGCACCGTTTTTATACAGGCCGCATAAAGGCAGATGATGCTTCTGCATGAATATACTTCGAAAACCGCAATAAGTATTTACCAGTGCATAGAATTTGGCCTTCTATGTTGAGTCCCCAGTTTGCTAGTAAATTTCAAAACAAGTTCAGTACATTTCCTTGTCCCGAACTTAGAACATGACAGGTTGGGTGTGGGCAAGAGGCCAACAGCCTGTCGGAAGAGCAGTGACTGATATTGTCACTAAACTATGGAGAAACGTGCTAGGCAAGACCTTATCTTTGCAGAATCTTCTGTTGTGATATTTTGGGGATCTATATATCTCAACACAAGGAGACCAAGGGAACCCTTCAGTGAAACACCCTTATTTTGCAATCCGAAAATGATGACACTGAGAAATGGTAGCCTATTCTCAAGGCTGCGAGGTGGTGGAGCTGGAACTCAAATCTGAAGCGTCCTGGCTGTGTTCCCAGGATTCTTTTTTTTTTTTTTTTTTTTTTTGAGACGGAGTCTCGCTCTGTTGCCCAAGCTGGAGTGCAGTGGCGCGATCTCGGCTCACTGCAAGCTCCGCCTCCCGGGTTCACGCCATTCTCCCGCCTCAGCCTCCCGAGTAGCTGGGACTACAGGAGCCTGCCACCGCGCCCGGCTAATTTTTTGTATTTTTAGTAGAGACGGGGTTTCACCGTGTTAGCCAGGATGGTCTGGATCTCCTGACTTCGTGATCCTCCCGCCTCGGCCTCCCAAAGTGCTGGGATTACAGGCGTGAGCCACCGTGCCCGGCCGGCCCCAGGATTCTTTATTTGGCTTTATGATTATGGGAATCACATTGCCAAAGAAATGATGGGGTCTTCCTCACTGGTCTCTTTCCCCAAAAGGTAGATATATACTTCTTGGAAATGTTCTAGGCATGGTCCTACCTCCAGGGAGGAGTATGCCTTACACCACATGGGAAGTCTGGGAATGTGCCCTCCTATGATGTCAATGAAAGGGGCAATCTCTATATCAATGGCTTCTGCAGCACAAAATGTCATCTTATTCTTGCCCTGGTGCTAACTCAGCCATATCTACTTCCTGGGCTGCAACATGGCCACTCCAAACAACAAAAACAGTAATAATAACAACACTAATGGCGGTAAACACCATCATCATCTTGCTTGGTCGAAGCAGAGCACCTTTGATCTGGGGATCTCCAAGCATGTTGCCAACATGATCCAGTGGCTAGTGTCATTATCTCCCTTTTACAGACAGAGAAAATGAGACACAAGAAGTTTAAGCCAGAAGCTCAAGGTCATGTGGGGTATTATTAGTTGGGGCATGTGAAGAGCTCAGATTGTTAGTTCTGAAATAAAAGCTCAAGGCACTTAACAGGCTTTTGGTTGGCAATGGCCACTCTTTATGAAGACTGTATATTTTTATAAACTATGCCATAAAAGTAAATGCCAATCATTAGATTTTATTTCAAGCATGTCTTCCACAATCTTAAATGCAGTGAGCATGTGGCGGAACTTCCCCAGCTCTGAGTAACCAATTCCACATATATCTCCTCTCTAACACTCAGGTAGGTCTCTAGTGGCTCAGGAAGGTGAGCCTAATCTTCTCTACCAAGACTCAAGGTGGGCATTATGTGGCAGAGGAAGCACTGGCCAGAGTCTCAGGGACCTCAGTTTGAAACACAGCTCTCCCTTTATTGGCTGTGCCACCTTAGAGAAAGCATTTATATTCTCTGGGCCCCCTCCTTCAACTGTCATGTGAAGAATTTGCATGAAATAATTTATGTTATGTTTTAAAAATGAATTCATAGTTTCATGAAAATTCATCCTACTACATTTTTTTTTTTGTTTTGTTTTCAAGCTTTTTCCCAGAGGACTCAGAGAACCTGCCTTTTCCTAGGTTTGAGCCTTTGAATTGAGTATTCCACATCTTCTTCTTTGTTGCTATATTATCAATCATTTTTCAAAGAGTTTCAAATTTTTGAAAGCAACAAAGATTCAGTCATAGATCAGGGAAAGAAATAGACACCAATCCAGGTATTTCAAGCAGAGAGGGATTCATTTCAGGGAATTAGGAGCTTAAAGAACTGTTGTTAAGGGCTGGGGGAGTGGAAGTCTGGATAGGTATCATTGCACTATCCCAAAGACATTCCACTGTAGCTGTGATCTAAATGTTATGGAACTGCTGCCCCTGATGTTTTCACTATGAGTGCCTCTGGCACTCATGGCACAGGTGACTGGACATTGGAATGAGAACTCTCTAAGCACTCATGTCTCTATTATATTGATGCTTCACACAAGGGCATTATTGGGGGAATCTAATTTGCCTCTAGAACCATGCCTTTAGGGGTATATTGATTTTTTTTCTAGCTCCTGAGTTACAGAGAATGGGAAATTACTGCCAACAGTCCTATTTAGCACAAACACTGCAAATGTCACCTTCCCTGGTATATTAGTCAGGATAAGTTCTGCTATGCTGTAGTCATAAACAACCTTAAAATTTCAGTGACTTAATAGGACAAATGTTGATTTCTCACTCACCAAATATCTGGTGCAGGCTGGGTGACCTTCCTCCTTGTTATAGGCATATCATCTTCTAGAACAAATGACCTTCAAGACATCAAGGCAGGAGAAGAAAGAGAGAGATGGAGCAGGCACAGGTATCATTAAGCACTTCAGCTCAGGAGTGGCACGTGTCACTTATGCCTGTAATTTGTGTCCAAAACTAGTCATGTGGCTCACCTAGCTGTGAGGCAGGCTGGGAATACTGGGAAGCACATGGAATATTTGGTTAGCACTAGCTGTTTCTATTACTCATGGTAAAAAGAGGAGGTGTTTCGGTTTCAAGCTGGGGTGAGCCTGGTTCTCAATCTTTCTTTCCTTCTCTGAAAGTGCCAGAAGACACAGATTTTAGAGCTTCTCCAATGCCAATCTGAACACATGGCTTATTAGGTGTTTTGGAACCATAACCTGTAGATCTGTGTGGCATCTTTGGAGAATCAGCAAAAATGTTCCTTCTCTATAAATAACTCTCTGACTGATCTAATTTGGCACCTAAAATTTCCACCATTAATATGCTGTTTTTGAGCTACCTTAAGGATATGCATATTTCAGTAGGTAGGTTAAGCAATGAGTCATCTTGGATTATACTGGCACACTTTCAGGGAGCAGCATGTGGGATGAATGTGCTGAAGGCATGTATGGAGGGATGAGAAAGGAAAATTGGTGTTAGGGGATCGTCTGGATCAGCAAGAGGGCTCTGGGGACCAGAAAGGAGAGGACTGGATACCCCAAGGGAGAAGAGAAGGAGGCTTCATAAAGATTCTACACATCCCACCTTTGCCAAGGCCTGGATGTGCTGGGTCCTCCAGGGCACCTACATCTTTACCCAATCTCGTCCAATAAGGTCACAGATTCTCTGGACTGAGCCTGCTTTTAGAAGATAAACTCAGAAAGATCCATCCAACTAAAGTGTAGCGAAGAGAAATGAGGTTGAAATGTATTAGTTGATTAATCTCCCCTGGCTTAGAGGGCAGCAGGTCTGCCCGTGGGATTAGAAGATGGATTTTAAATCCTGACTCAGCCACCCACTCACTGAAGTTCCCATGGACTTGTAAAACAGCCATGTGACCTCAGGCAAGGCGCTTAATGTTGCTGCACCTCTATTGGAAGAATTCAGTGAGGAATGCGTGATAGGGCCAAGGTAGAGACTTAACAGATCCAAGCTCAGCATCCCTTCCCATATTTATTTCTGTAAAATAAGGTGTGTGAACCAGATCTTTCTCTAGAGTCCTGGATCTCCATGGTTTTCTTAAGGGACAGAGGAGATGGGGAGGAGGCTGATTGGAGAACAGCATCTGGACTCTCCAGTCTTGTTTAAACCTGAGAAATCCCAGGTAAGATTTAGTTCGGAAAAAAAATGTGTTTTGCTGTGAAAATGAACTCTGAAATCCTCTGGAGTGGGTGATCACCAGAATTTCTTTTCACTAACACATTACCATCCCAAGAAATAGTAATGTTTATGAAAATGCCTTAAAATGATAACACACTATACAAATGTAAAGCTATATTATTGTCACTATCATTTTTCATTGTGGTTTTAGCTTGAATTTTGGTTAGAACAGGTCATAGTATCAGCCTCCATAACTCTTCCCAATAGCTCCACTAAATTATTGCAAAGCCCATTTAAAGTGAGATTGTTCAGAATGACATGAGAGGCTCCTATCTTTTCTTAGGAAGGAATGTATTTTTGCAGTTCATCTCTCAATGCATTTATTGATATTACCATATCTAATATAGTGATAGGGTGTTTCTGTCTGTCTCTATCTGTCTCTGTCTCTCTTAAAAACAAGATTATTGACAGGGCGTGGTGGTGCGGACCTGCAGTCCCAGCTACTCAGAAAGCTGAGGAGGCAAGATCGTTGGAGCCCAGGAATTCACGACCAGTCTGGGCAACATAGTGAAGCCCTGTCTGTAAAAATGAAAACAAAAAGATTATCAAGGTGTTGTTTCAAAAGCGTTTATAAATATTTTACCATTTGTATAAAATTTCAAACCATACAACTAATGCTAAATATTGCTAATGGATACTTGAATATATGATAAAATATAAAACAGGTGTGGAAATAATGAACCCACAATTCAGGAAAATGCTTAAAACAATTCAACATCTGGAAACCACTCATGGCATGGAGTAGGTACTCAATAAATACTGTTAAATAAACAACTGGCACTTTTTGGGGAAGGTGGAAGAATAAAAGTAAGGGAGGTGTGCTGAGACTTCAATTTTAATATCTTATTTCTTAGGTTGAGTGTTACACAGGCATTTGTAATCATATATACTTTTGTACACTTGAAATATATATATTTGTGTGTGTGTGTGTGTGTGTGTCAGAGTCTCACTCTGTCTCCCAGGCTGGAGTGCAGTGGTGTGATCTTGGCTCATTGCAACCTCCACCTCCCAGGTTCAAGAGCTTTTTGTGCCTCCATCTCCTGAGTAGCTGAGACTACAGGCAAGCACCACCACACCGGCTAATTTTTGTATTTTTAGTAGAGATGGGGTTTCACCATGTTGCCCAGGCTGGTCTCAAATTCCTGGCCTCAAGTGATCCAGTCACCTTGGCCTCCCAAAGTGCTGGAATTACAGGCGTGAGCCACCATGCCCGGTCTGAAATATTTCAAAATGTAAAAAAGCTAAACCCAAATCCAGATGTCTACTTTCAAGGTGCTCACAGGTCAGATCTAGGATTATTGCTACTAACTGATATTTATTATCCCAGCACCAGCATGTTTGGCTGTGTGTCATGGGTAAGTTACTCACCTTCTCTGCGACAGTGTCATCATTGTAAAATAGGGATAAAAGAGTTTAGACCTTGCAGAGTCCTTCAGATTAAAGGAGATAATCAGTACGTGGCACTGAGTACCTGCAATATATTAAGTGGTGTGTGCTCAGAGATATGATCACATACAGTATCTTGGATCTGCCCAGCAACTCTATGAAGATGAGGAAACAGACTCAGGCAGGTCAGAGCCAGAACATAATGTTTCTGGAATTTGAACGTAAACGTTCCCCTTTCTCTTATCCAGGCTGAGTGCTAAAGGAATTGTAAAAATGGAATTTGCCTGTTGCCTGCATCTCCCTCTCTTTTTCTTCCTCTGTGTCCTCTGAATATCTAGCACCAGTGGGACTTTACAGTGTTGGCCTCAATGCTGTAGGGTGCTGTGTGCACACTTGTCTTCAGCTCCCTGAGTTAGCAGAGCATTGCCCCAACTCTGCCCTCTGGCCAGCTCATGTGCCTTACAACTTTCTGTTGCCAGAAGAGAGCCCTGCTCATTCTCTAGACTCAACCAACAAAAGCTGCCTACCATTTTCAGAATGCCAGTGGGCAGTGAGAAGTGCAGAGCTTGTGTCCTGAGCTTGGCAGCCATCTTGCTTGGTGTTAACAAAGAGTAATTAAGTGATCTCATAAAACTCAGTGGTGGAGGTTGTGGTTCAGAGCAAGCTGGGTCAATGCCAAGGCTACTTTGGCTTCATCTGGTCCATAGCCCCACATTTCTCTTCTGATGGTTCAGTTCCGGGAATGAGAACCAGTCTGAGTGTAAGAAGACTTGGGTTTGAATCTGTCTCCTCCAATCACTAGCTGACCTTAGAAAAGTGACTTAACCTCCCGAGCTGCTATTTCCTCATCTTAAATGGTGATAGTAATCTTTCCTTACCTTAAGGTTGTTGAGCAGCTTAAATAATATAATGAGTTGAAAGCTTTTTGTATGATCTGTTATTAGGAGTCCAGATAGTGTTTTATAAACAAGAGGATAAAAAAAAAAAAAAAAAAAAAAAAACAGGATTCTGAAGGCTGGACTCATTGCATTCCTTGCAAACTACCCACTGAGCCCCAACTCTTCCGTCAGCTCAAAGTCACTTCTCAGAGCAAACCAGATTGTCCTGAACCCAGCACTTGCCAACATCTCCTCCTCTTCCCTGATGAAAACTCTGGGCTGGAGTTGTGGTGGGTGAGGGGAAGGCAGGATAAATCAAAAATTGATGTTTTAAGAAAACTATGGTATTCTTGGATGCAAAGGCATGAGAATGATACCTTAGACTTTGGGGCTTGGGGAAAAGGGTGGGGGGTGGCGAGGGATAAAAGACTACACATTGGGTTTAGTGTACACTGCTCGGGTTATGGGTGCACCAAAATCTCAGAAATCACCACTAAAGAACTGATTCAGGTAACCAAACACCACCTGTTCCCCAAAAACCTATTGAAATAAAAACAGAAAATTAAAAAAAAGAAAACCTATGGTATTCTTGGAAGAAGCACAGTGGTGAAGTGGAGTAGACACAGATGTGGAAGTGATGTGAACTTTGGTAAGTTGCTGAGCCTCTGAGGATGATTTCCCTCATCTGTCAATCAGGGAACAAAATCCCTTACTTGTACAATGAGTATTATAAAGATCAATTCAGATGACGCATGTAAAGATGCAATGTGGGACTGGTAGGTAGTAAGCATCCCATAAATGGCAGCTATTAATAAGTAATAATCACCGAGTGGTGGGCTGCCTTTCATGAAAACATTCCCAGCAAGCTGCTCTTCTGTCGGCTCAAAGTCACTTCTCAGAGTAAATGAGATTGGCCAGTTCTTTCTTTCCAAGGCTTTTCTGGATATTCATTTGTCCCAGATTTCTCCTGTATACAAAGCTCAGGAGTGAGGACCCCCACAGTGGGGCTTGCACAAGGATAGCCTTGGGGGGCTTTTTCTAAGAGCTATGACTTTGAATGCTCTCTTCATCGATGCTGACAGATGAGGGCTGATGGAAGTGGTCATGTTTTAAAATGTCTGATGTCCAGAAACACAGAGATGTGTACGCAAAACATTCATTCATTCAAGATGGAATTAGTGCCCCAGACACAGAGGCAGGGGATAAATAGCAAACAAGGCTTGATTCCTGCCTTCATAGAGCTTACTGTCTTGTAGGGGAAACATGAGTAAATTCAGCAGAGTAAGGGCTCTAATTGGGTAAATGGGGGCTAGGCTGCCTGTGTCCTTGGGGTGGTGGGAAGGCTGCTGATCTGGGGTGCCAGGAGACCTGAGTTTTGATGCAGGCTCTGTGACTTTGAGCAGGTCGTTTCCAACTTCTGAGCTTCCATTTCCCTAGCTGAAAATGGGGGCTTGCCATACTCGATGCTGTACTCTATGAGTCTTTGCAGCTCTGTCATCTTTTTTTCTTTTGGTCACTCAGAGACTCCAGGATTGGGAGAACAACCTGCATTCTGATTTAAAGTGTGAATCTAATAATTTCAAAAAGAAAGGGACTAAAAGGGACAAACTTGTTTCTGTTTATTTTCCATCCTTCTTTGGGGAAGTGTAACATTTGAAATCAAATTCTCATTGGCTTAGCCAATGTGTAGACTTCGAGGGGAAATTCTCACTGCCCAGAGAAGTGACTAAAAATGACCATTACAGCCAAAAAGAGAAGTTTTTTTTTTTAAAATCTGTGCTCTACAGATGGATGAAGTGCTGCTGCACATGGACAGAGTGGATCTGGACATTCTGCATGAGCCCAGGGATCCTGAGAATGGATTGGCTGAGCATAGACAGGGTGACCTATCGATGTTCACTGTGGTCCTGATCTATGTGGCCTCTTCCTAAGGGAAGATTTTTCTTAAGGTTGTTTCCTTTCTCAGCAGATATTTGTGAAGAAACTGTATCTGTAGTCTCATTTTGTCCTTATAATGACCCTGATGGATGGGAGGTAGAGGGATGATGATCAGTAAGAGCTGGGAAAGCACCAGGAACTAGCAAGAGCAGGACACCTTTTCCACCACTAGGTAAATGGACCTAGTGACTGCTGGCACCGTGGGTGAGGGGACTGCCTGGCAGGAGCTGTGGCCGTAGCTAGGGGATTACAGCTACGGCCACAACTCTGGCCCTGTACGGAGGGAGTGGGGGAAATAAAGAGTTCATATCACTCCCCTCTTTCCCTGGAGTCTCCTGCTGGTACCTTGCATTGGCTGAGTCTAACTGGAAGCCAGAGGGCAAAGGAGGTACCCTTTCCAGCTCTGCAATTCTCTTCAGACAGGGCTGGGATTTCTGGAGAGAATTTGCAGAATCAGAAAGCAGAGCTTTCCAATCAATGCCAAGCAAGAGACTCTGCAGACTCTCATAGCCTTGGGACCTGAGAAACCAGGTATCCAGTGAGCAGTCACTTAAGCCTGTTCACCTGGCCCTCTCTTACTTTCTCTCCTATAGCAGCAGCAAAGGAGCGATGGGCCGAAGGGACTTGCTGGGTAGAAGTGGACCCACATTCTAAAAAGGAATGGAAGAGAAACCTGATTTCTTTGACTCGCCCTGTCCCTGAAGATGAGGGGCAGGCACAGACCAGCCCTCTCCAGAAAGACAAATATATTCTTCCATTCATGGGAGGGGTAGTAGAGACTAACATTTGTTAAGTATCTATTACATGGGGGGTATGGAGGTAGGCCCTTTGTGTGTGTTGCCTCTTTTAATCCTTTGGTGATCAACTCATGAAAATAAACAGCTCCAGAGCCAGCTGTCTTTGGAGGGTGTAGGCAGGCCCGGCTCTGGGAAACCTGGTGACACTGACCTAGTTTGACTTCCAAATCTTCTCTCTTCTTCGATTCTGGTGAGCCCCACTCTAGCCCCATAGTATGTAGGGCCAAGCACCCAGATACTGCTTCCATCAGGAGGAAATAACATACCTGATGAATTTCTTCACTCAAGGTGTTAGGAGCTTAATGTGTTTCCCCCGCCCCCCGCACCAAGAGAATTTGTGTTTTCCAAGACAGTCAGAGAGTGGGTGGTGCTGAACTCAAAGGAGTGAATCACTAATAGTGGAATCCCAGGCATTCAGGGAGGTCCTATTTCTGGGGTGGGTTCCTTCCTGACACTTCATTTTCTACAAAGGTGGCAGCCACCTATTGTCTCCAGAAAGGAGGCTGTCCCTGTGGGTGTGGTGACGGTGGGAAAGGAGAGGCACCTGCAGGCTGAAGCCAAGATCACCTGATTTTCAAAACCAAATCTGTCCCTACAAAGGAGAAGTGGCTTAAAAATCCACACAGCCTCCCGAGTGGAGGGAAGAATTCCCTCTCCTCTCTGGAACAGGGTTCCCTTCACCCAGAACACGGTGCTGTTGTTATGCAATGTCCCTGTTGGCAAAGATATTTGAGCCCCTTGTTTTCAGGTCTGTGTCATTTCCAAGAAAGAGCTGTGGCCTTTGAGTAGGACTGGGCTCCTGAATAGGGTCCCTGGTGCCAAATGAGGGAGCCAAGAAAAGGCAGAGAAGAGGAAAGTCCTGACTTTTACATGAAGATGAGACAGCCAGCCCTGTGGCAGCCAGATGGCAGTCCTGTTGCTCTGTAGTGGCCTTGGGGTCAGACTAGGGGCAGAGCTGGGCTGAAGGCAGGAAGGCCAGGACAAGACAGGTGAGAAGGGCAAAGTCTCCTGTAACCTGGTGAGAAAATGTGGGCTAAGCCATTCTCATCTGGAGCTGAAGGCTTGGTGGAGAATGGCCCTCAACATTCAAGTTCACACCCATGGATTTATAAAAGGCAGGGCTGGGGGGAAAGGTTTTTCCCATTATACTTAATAACATTATCAACAACAATAATCACTACTATCATTTATTGAGCATTGACTCAAAAGACAGTCCTTTTATGAAAATTATTTACTTAAATCCTTACAAAGCTTCTATTCATTCACCCAACACATATTTATTGAGTTCCTACTATGAGCCAGGCATTATTCTAGGTGCTTAATTTAGATCAAGGGACAAGACAGACAAAATCCCTGTTCTGGTGGCAGGGCTACTACATGCAATTAACAGCACACAACTCTAGGGGGAGCCACATACATGGGCCACCTTATGAATGGTGTGCCCTGAGGTTAAGCATCCTGGCAGCCCCTTTCTGTGACATTTGCATTCTAGTGAAGGGAGTCTAATACCAATGAAGTAGATGTCATTATCCCCTGACTACAGTTTAGGAAACAGAGACACATAGGAATTAAGTAACTTGCTGAGTTTTTCAGCCAAAAATGACTGACCCATGATTTATACTGAAGTCAGTCCTTGCAATTCACCTGTGCCACGTACTTGCCTTTCTCTCCCTGGTGGGCACAGGGAAGAGGGAGTAGCCAGGCTGGCCAGATGAGTGCTGGGCTGGCTGGCCCAGTAGAGGCACCATGTCCTGACTGGGTGGACAAAGACTGGGTAGGAGGTAACAGAGAATCCCTTGGTGAGTCTAACTTAGCTATAAGAAGGCTTGCTGAGAGCAGCTGCCTCCATGCAGAGGGTGGGGTGACCGGCCTTTAATCCTTCCCAGCTGAGGATTTAGTCAAAGAAGCTTGTCTCTGGGGATAGCCTATGGTCTTGAAGGGCCTGAGTTAGCTATTAGTTCACCCATTTATTTAACATTCATTCATTATTTTTAAAAAATTTCCTAGCTATGTTTGGGGGCAGAGAAGTGGGTCCAGAGACCTAGAGGTTTGCAAGGGTAGCTTCTAAACTCCTTTGGTTCAGAACAGAATAGAAAGTGTCCTCGGGTGACCTTGGGTCTGCTTCCCAAGCAAATTGAGCATACGCAGCCAGAACAAAGACTGCACTCTACTCTAGTGAGCTCAGCCTGCTAGGCTTGGATCTAGATTTTATAGCAATAAGCTTGGAGTCTCACCTTTGGGTCAGACAGAGTACTACCCCAGACATGAGGTAGGGAGAGCCTAGTCTATATTCCTCTGCCTTTGTCCAAGCCTGCTTTGTCCTTCCTCTTGACGAGGAATAAAGATGGCTTCTGGGTGTGCATCCCCTTCCTTCTTCCACCTGCAGATGTACCTGTTTGTGTGCAGTGGGCTTCTGAGTCCTGGGCAGGGATGCCAGAGACCGCAAGCCAGATGCTTGGGATGCCAATCCTTGGGACTTTGAGGAGAAAGAGAGGTTCTGAGGGGCATCTGTCTATGGCACAGAGTCAAATGGAACACATGGAAGTCCCTTAGAAGGCTGGTATCTAAGTGTTGGCCACACAATGTCCGTTCTTCCTCCATTATTTGAATTTCTCCTTCTCTATCCTTCTATCTTTCTTGGCACCTTGAGCCAGGTCTGGGGTGAGAGAAGGGATGGTGTAGGTGAATTAGTGGTAGTTATTGGAGGAAGGCAATAAACCCAGAAAAAGTGTCACGTGACTTCTTTCTTGGGCCCAGTGTGACGCTTCTAGTTAGGCTAACGTGGGTCTTGGGACTGTTCCTGAGATTTTGTGGAAAACTCTTTGTATTTGTGCTGGTAACAGAAGGAAACCAGAGTTAGGGCTGGTGGGATGAAGCAGTGGGAACACTGATTTCTCCTTTTTTTCAGATTCAGGGATTTCTGTCAGAGACATCCGTGGGGGAGGGATGGGATTGGGAGTGAGGAGAATCCCTTTCCTCTCCTCTCACCATCTGGTGGTCCCCGTGCCCACGCACCAGCTCGTTGGATGGACATTTTGATTCCCTTAAGATGTACATTCTTCAAATCATTGTTTGTCATTAGCTCCCTGGAGAAAATGGAGGGGCTGAGATATTAGTGAGAAAACATAAAGTTAATTGGGTGATGGAGACTGGGAGAAGGGGAATGTTAGAAGAAAGTGAGCGAGGTCTGCTAAAAGTGAACTTTATCTTCTTCTCAATTTTGCCTAAGACTCGTGTTGCCTGGGCAGTCTCTTTTTGGAAGAGAAATTTTCATGACAGTTTGGGCCAGAGATGGCAAATAAATGCCTGACATGGTTGCTGCCAGCCCCTGTCTCCCGACACGTTCACAAGGGTGCACACCACTTCTCCTCTCTGTGACCATAGACTCAGACCCATTGCAATCCAGCATCCTGCATGGCCCCATTGGTCAGAGTTGACATTTGCAATGAAGCTGCTTCCCTATGCCTGGTTAGGCCTTTTGCTATGAATTCTCTGGAGTTAACTATTTCCAAGGGGCTCCATCTTATTCTTGTGATTTCCACGGGATTTGGAGCCCCAGAAGACAATCCCATGTGGATTCACAAAATGCCCTCTAAATTTGATGGCTGTCAGTGCATACTAAGTATGACTGACTCACTGGTATCTGTTTCCTCCGCTGACACAGCTGGTTCTTAGGCTCGGCAGGAGTTTGGGCTGAGACCTCTCATTGCTCTATATTCCCTCTGTTACTAATGAGGCGTTGTTCCTTAATTACTAGGTGCTGGATACTAGAATTGCTTTTCTTTGTTTCAGGGGATTTAGCAAAGGGCTTATAAATATTTCTTGTGTCTGGCATGAACTACCTGATTTTTTTATTCTTCAGGTCACTGAGCTGGCAATAAAGGCAACTCAAAGTTAGCTGGGAATCAGAATGAAGGGGGACTAGGAAAAGTGATGCCTAGAACACCAACAGGTGTGGGATCATCTTCATTGTACCTTTCAGAGCCTAAGATATAAGTCCTCTGGATACTCTCTGCTTGTTTATTTAAAGGAAAAAATAATCAGAATGTGGGAGAAATGGGTGCTTTGGGTAATTTCATATTCTAATTGATGAACGTGTATGAAATTATAATATTAAACCACTACTAGCCCTTGCCGTAAAAAAACTATTCCAAAATAGCTGAGTCTAAGTTTCCTGCCTCAGTGTGTCCCACCTCTTGCGCTTGAGTCCTTAATGATCCAGAGTTTCAAGTCCCCAGTGCCCTAATCTTGAAAAGCAGAAACTTTAGAAGTTTGCTGAAGTTTATTAGTTGGCTATACGATCCATCAAGAAATTGACTTTTTTGGATTAAATTCAAGATAGTTTTTAAAAAATCAGAAGTTTCTTTATCATGAAAGCTAAAAAAATAATTGAAGGTAGAGGCTAGTTGGAATCCCAGTTAATAGATGGATTTCTTCCTTCTTGAAGAAACTTGTGTCCAAGGGCAAACTGAATCCTGGTGGTCTATGCTGGCCACATTCAGCAAAAAATGGCCTGAGGTTTTGATGGTTATCATTCTCAAAACTGTTCCTGCCAACACACTCTGATCCCAGGAGGTTACCTGACCTTTATAAGGCTCAGTTTCCTCCCCTGTAAAATGGGCAGGGTAATCAAGCTAGGCAAAATATTTAACCTAAGTGAGGAAATTGTGCTATTAGTGCCCTGAAAAACATGTAGAAAGACATTAGACATTATTTTATTTAATATCATGTTGAACTTAGTTTTTAAAAAGAAGACCTATTGGATTTTCCAAGAACAACTAAACTGATTCCTTGTAGACAGTTTAGAGAATACAGAAAATTAGAAATAGGAAAAAAGCAAAACAAAGCAAAAACCATCAAACAAAGTCTACGCAAATACAGTTTCTCTTAACTTTTGGTTTATTTCCTTCTAGTCATTTTTTAGGTGCATTTTTAAATTGTGGTAAAATATATGTAACGTAGAATTTACCATTGTAGCCATTTTTAAGTGTAGAGTTCAGTGGCATTAAGTACATTTATATTGCCGTGCAACCATCACCACCATCTATCTCCAGATTTTATAACCCCAGACTGAAACTCCATATCCATTAAATGATAACTCCCCATTCCCCTCCCCCTACCCTGGTGACCACCATTTTACTTTCTGTTTTTATGAATTTGACATTCTTGGCGCCTCTTATAAGTGGGATCATTTTTAGTCGTTTTTATAATCGGTTTCCTTCCTTTAAAAATATGAATGGAGCCTAATGAATATTGAATTTAGTGTACTGGTTTCTTTGAACATTTCAGCATCATAAACATGTTTTTGTATTCTACATTCTTCTTGTATTGCTATATTCTCTATAGGAATTTTTTTTTTTTTTTTGACAGAGTCTCACTCTGTTGCCCAGGCTGGAGTGCAGTGGCACAATTTCAGCTCACTGCAACCTCCGCCTACTGGGTTCAAATGATTCTCCTGCCTCAGCCTCCCAAGTAGCTGGGACCAGAGGTGCATGCCACCATGCCTGGCTAATTTTTGCATTTTTAGTAGAGATGGGGTTTCATCATGTTGGCCAGGCTGGTCTTGAACTCCTGACCTCAGGTGATCCGCCCACCTTGGCCTCCCAAAGTGCTGGAATTACAGGTGTGAGCCATTGGCCCCAGCCTTGAACATCATTTTTAATGGCTGAAGATTATAGAATCCAGTGGGTGTGCCATCCATTATTAGTATTCTGTTGTTTCCAAATATTTGCTGTTTTAAACAGTGTTGTGAAAACATATTTTTGTGTTGAACTTTTATCATATTGAGAGGCACTTCCTCTGTGCAGAATCAAGAAATTAATTACCGGTTTATAAGGAATGTGAACCTTTCAGGCTCATAATCTGTATTACCAAATGGTTAGGAAAAAAATGTTCAGAAGGTGCCATTCACAGATGGAGTGGGCTTCCACCAGGGGCTGTGAAGCTCTAATCTCAAAGGATGTTGACTACTGGTAGGGCTGATTCAAGTATTAGATATCTAGGAAGGGTGGGAAGGGCAGAGAAGCTTCCAAAATTCCTATGTAGGAGAGGCATAGGGGTGCTGATCTCTTCATAAGGGGTGACGGGAATTTTCCTTGAAACAGCATGTGCAGATCAAGCACTGTTCTTTCCTTTAGAGTGTGTGTTTATTTGGGGCGACTTGGAGGGTTGCTAATTGAGATTATGGGGAATCTAAAGCCACACCCCAAACCGCCCCTTGGTTCCCCTACCTGGGGGAGAGTTGACACTAGTCAAACCTCTCCCATCTCTGAGATTTTGTGAATCTAGGACTCTTGCCACTGCACAGACTCCAGCTGGACCCAGGGACTCCAGCTTCTCACATCACCCTGGCTCATCCATAACTCTCTTTTGTTTCATCTCAAACATCACTGAGAGATGGCTGCCTCTTCTCCCTTCCTAGGAAAGCCCATGTCACAATAAGCGCGCCTGTGCTTCTCATCAGTGCTTTCCTGGTAGCACCACCTGACAAACACTGCTCGCGGCTGCCTTCAGCTGCTCTCCAAGAAGACGTCATAACCACAAGAGATCTGAATCAGCCCATTTTTTCCCCTGTGGCACTGTGTGCTTTGGCTGCCTGGCCAGAAAGCTGGGACTGTATTTACCTATCATTTTGATACTATCTTGGGGTGTAATTGGAATTGAGCTCTTAGTGTGGAAATTCTTACTCAGAACACAAAGGATTGAAGAGTGCTTGGAGGCTGAACTCTGGAAGGACTCTTCCCTGAGGCCTCTTGGCATCTGGCTCTTGTTTCTTGGAGCGGTGGTATGGCCCACAGGTGGGTGTTTCCTTTGGGAGCAATTTCTTGCTTTTTCAGTAGCTCTGGGCTGTCATCGAGCCCACTGTTCCTTGTCTTCTCTGCACTGTTTAGTGATGATGTAGGTGAATTGCTCCACAGTTTAATTCCAGTGGTAGAGCAGTCACCATTTGTTGGTTTCTTTTTCTTATGGGAACTCTGGTCTGCATCTCACTGTGTTTCCCTTGAACGTGTCTGGGGTCCTCCAAACAGCTTCTTGTCCCTCTGAGTGCGGACACTCAGATTCTAACTCAGATTCTAAGTCAATGGTCTCAGCCTTTAGAACCGCAGGAGGCCAGGCGCGGTGACTCACGCCTGTAATCCCAGGACTTTGGGAGGCCTACGCGGGTGGATCACCTAAGGTCAGGAGTTCGAGACCAGCCTGGCCAACACAGTGAAACCCCATCTCTACTAAAAATACAAAAATTAGCCAGATGTGGTGGCATGTGCCTGTAATCCCGGCTACTCAGGAGGCTGAGGCAGAGGCAGGAGAATCGCTTGAACACGGGAGGTGGAGGTTGCAGTGAGCCGAGATTGTGAGATTGTGCCATTGCACTCTAGCCTGGGCAACAGAGTGAGACTCCATTTCAAAAAAAAAAAAAAAAAAAAAAAAAAGAACCACAGGAGGGAGAGATCATATATGACCCCGTATGTGTGAAAAGTCCTATCATTGCTACCCACACCAACAATATTAGTGGAAAAATGTCTTCAAAGGACATTCGATTCAATGATACATGAGATTTGCTTCCTTCCTTAATTTTTCCCTGTACAGCTATATAATGATTTTTTCAATCAGATCCTCTTTTCCCCCTATTAATTGTATTTATAGGATGAGATTGATTCTAACACAATAGCAAATGATGTATGCACATTTAACACATTTCGTGAAGGCAGGAAAGGGCACACTATAAATTCTGTGAAATCCACATTAGATCATGCCTCTCCTTTCTCAGTTGGGAGGTGGGCTCTGACAGTGCTCAAGAGAAAAAAAAATCAAGTTGTGACAGTTTAAAAAATATTTTAAATATTAAACTATTTATTATGGAACTTAAAACATACACAGAAGTTGGCAGAATAACATCATGTACCCTAAATATCTATCTCCAAACCTCAACAGTGATCAACCTGTGGTCAGTTCTGCCTCTTCTGGTTCCCATCTGCTCTCTGACTTCAGTTTATTTTGAAGCATGTCTCAGACATCTTGTGACTTCAGTATTGCACGATGTATGTCCTAAACGTAAGCATTCCCTTTAAAACATGTATCTACTTTTTAAATGAAGAACAATTAGGTGCATTTTCATAAGGGTTTTAGAAAGGGAAGAAACTGTATTTCTTTAATTTAAAAATGTATCAGACAACTAATCCATGTTTACTGTTTCTAACACGGATACCATAATAATAGGATCATTCTATTATACATAGACTAGTGAGATCAATTTGTCAGATAAACTTAGAAGGGCCATTAAGAAAGTTATGTCATAATTTTTGTCACTTGCTGAAACCAAGACTTTAATTCTGCAGAACATCATACCAGGATTCACAATTGTATACACTGATTGTGTTTGTCCAGAGGTAATCTCAGATCCACTGTATATAATTTTCCATTTGCCTAGCTATGGGGTTGGACACGTCAGTTTTTTCCAGACCAAGGGTCTCCTAGCTTTTTTTTTATTTTTATTTTTATTTTTTGAGACAGAGTCTCTGTTGCCTGTGCTGGAGTACACTGGTGCGATCTCGGCTCACTGCACCCTCCACCTCTCAGATTCAAGTGATTCTTGTGTCTCAGCCTCCTGAGTTGTAGGTGGGACTACAGGCACCTGCCACCATGCCTGGATTTTTTTTTTGTTTTTTTGTATCTTTAGTAGAGATGGAGTTTTGCCATGTTGGCCAGGCTGGTCTTGACCTCTTGATCTTAGAAGATCTGCCCACCTTGGCCTCCCAAAGCTGGGATTAGAGGCATGAGCCACTGTGCCCAGCCTCCTAGCTGTTTTGGCTGCACACTTCTATCCGTAGATAATTAAGCATGTACCCTTACTATTTTCTGCAATATAAATTATTTACTTATAAATTACATTATGTACTCTATCACACTGGTAAATTAAGTATATTATAAAACAGAAACTAAAAGTATGAAGTGAGAATTAAAAATGAATAGCAATTCTAATATCTTCATCTTCCCCTCAGTGGATCCTCCTGTACATACTCCAATTTGCAGACCACTGGAGGAGGCTGTAGGAGGCAATATTATATCCCAGTGAGGTGTGTGGGTTGTAAAGCCGAACAGCCTGAGTCCACATCCCAGCTCCACCACTCCTTAGTTCTGTGATCTTGGAAACATCACTTAACCTCTCTGAATCTATCTTCTCACCTGTAATATGAGGGCATTAACCCCTTACAGGTTATTGTAAGGTTTCTTACACTGTGCCTGTGGTAAGCATCAATACATTTTAGCCAATAATAACAGTAATGATAATAACACATTCCTAGAGGGCTGGGATGGATCTAGATTTTTCTTCCCCTTTTAGTGGAAGACCACAGCATGATGCATGAATTTACATTTCCTCAGACATTCTGGTGCTGATGAAGGTAAAGATGGTGAGGCTGCGATGATGGTTTCAGGGATGGGTGTGTTGGGCGTGATGAATAGCATGATGCATATTGTCACTCATTTAGTTTATCTGCACTGATGATGATGCTGATTATATGATGACTGTTACAGGGATGGTCACATTGTGGGTGATGAATATGACCAGAAAGGGAAGACTTTCACAGTTCCTACCCGAACTACAACATCGATATTTTCATTTGTCTTTCCTAGGAACTCTTACCTTAATCACCTGACCAATATGCTGACGACTAACATGTTGCGCCCTGCCTTTCTTCCGGGCCTCTCTGCCTTGCTGATCTGTTTTGCTGGTGTGCCCTCCACTGTGCTCTTGGGTCTTTGTCTCTCGGTAAAGCCTAGTACTGTGGTTGCTGTACACAAAACCTGTAGATGATTAAGATCTCTGTTCACTGCAGGGCCATTCATCTCCCAGCGACTATTTTATCCTTAAGTCAAGAGACTTGCCTCTCAGCCCCTGGGGACCATGGAAAGAGTGCTAGAAACCTACAGAGTATGACCCTTTGTAGCCTTATGCAAGAAGTGACCTGTGTCTTTCCTGTCATGAGAGAGGACAGACATTGCAGGAATCAAACGCATAACACTAGTGCAAAACTGGGGATAATGCCCAAACCTGGTTAGGCAGGGGCGCCTGGAACATGCTTGTCCAGGAAATCTTCCACTCAGTTCTGCTGCCTCCATGTCCCAGATGATCACAGAAGCCTCCTGAGAAGGGTTGAATCCCCCGTCGCCTGGGGATCCCAAGAAAGCTGCAGAGGAAAGACTTTCTCTTCCAAGATCAGAACAAAGGACGGTTAGCATTGTGCCCAGTAGTGCCAAAAGGTAAGGTTGGGTTAAAATAAGAATTTGCCTTAAGCTCTTTTCCCGGGGGCTTGTTTTTTTCATTAACCTTGTTGGCTGGACTTTAGGGAAGTATGCACCATCTTCTCCAGAAGTGCTTCAGATTTTATATTTTTAAGAAATTCAAGAGTCTGAGTTAGGCACTTTAATGTAACCTCCCCAAAGCTTTTGTTCCAGGAATTGACTTGGGGATTAATCTGTTTAGCAAATTCTGACACAGAGGCATCTCATAACCTTTTATTTTTTCTACAGACCACATTGTATCTACCTGGGATGTTTTGAAAATGAACAGTGACACCTAAGAATGTATACTTATCTCTTCATGCCAATTCTCCAAACTGGATGTTGCCCATGTCTCAAAATTACTTGCCTCCAATTTTAGGGCATAAAGTGTGAGATTCTGTAGCATGAGATCATATGCTCTTAAAATACTAAGTATATATAAATTATCCCTTAGCATCTTTAACATGCATTTTTTTTTTGTAGAGACAGTATCTCTACAAAAAAATCTCTCTGTATTGCTCAGGCTGGTCTTGAAATCCTGGGCTCAAGAGATCTTCCCATCTCGGCTTCCCAAAATGCTAGAATTACAGGCATGAGTCTCCACACCTGGCCTAACATGAAATATTCTTTAACAGTATTCTTTAGGATAATATATTATTCTATAGATTTGAAATAATTTATCAGTTCTATACTTAATTATAAATACTCTTGGGAATAAAACATACTTATCTAATAAGCAAACAGTCGTGCTATTCCAAACAATTTGGGATTGCCTTTCCAAGCATTTTTTGGGGGTTTCTTCAACTGATTGAGAGACCCCCGGCCGGGGAAGAGAAAGAGAATTTGATTTGTGACACTGATGGAATGGACTACAACCTTTTGGTGGTGACTCTACTGGGGACTTGTCACAGAGCTTATTTTCTAAACAGATGTGAAAAATGAAAGTCAGGCTGCTGTCTGGTTGGTAAGATAAAGCTTTCATTAATACTTGGCAGCATTATTTTAGCTAAAGTGTCAGATCAAACGCCCACATTATCACCTCCCCTTCCTGATTCCAACCGCCCATGATAGAAAAGAAATAAAAGACTAGGAATAGGTCCATCAACTGGTGAATGGCTAAACAAAATGAGGTATATACATACAATAGATGGTTATTGAATCACAGTAGGGAATGAAGTACTGATACATGCTACAATATAGATGATCGTCATAAACATCATGCTACGTGAAAGAGGCCAGATGCAAAAATGTCACATATTATATGATTCTACTTATTTGAAAAACTCAAAGTAGGCAAATCCATAGAGACAGAAAGCAGACTGGTAGTTTCCCAGTGCTGGGGAGAAGGCAGACAGGGAAGTGACTGCTTAATGAGTATGAAGTTTCCTTTTGGGATGATGAAAATGTCTTGGGACTTAGATAGAAGTGATGGTTGCACAACACTGTGAATGTAGTAATTGCCATGGAGATGTACACCTCAAAATGGCTAAAATGAATTCTATGTTATGTGAATTTTACCTGAATTTAAAGAAGAGTAGAAACAAACACCAAGGAAAAGGGAGGAAAGGAGACATTATTGAACAAGACATTTCAACAAGTTTTGGAATATGGAAAATATACGGAGAAGTGGCAACTGACTTACCAGAGTGGCAGAAGAAATAGTCTATGTGAGTGTGGGGAATGGGGTGGATGTGGAACCAGTGAGAAATAAGCCGCTTTACTGGGAAGAACTACAGAAAGACTGAGGCTTGGACGCAGCTTGTGCTACTACAGGTAGCAGTAAACAGGGGGATTTGTTGAACTTCAGAATATAGAGAATTTTGATGTAAGAGGTTTTTTTTTTCTCGTCTCAAACCAGGAGACTTTTTTTGTTCTCTAGGTGAGGGAGATCTAGAGACAGCCAAGTACAGGGTGCAGTATCATCTAGAAAATAAAGAAGAGGTTTGAGTCTGCAGGTGAGACTCCTGCTCTCTTCCTGGAATGCTGGCAGCCAGGCTTAGATCAGCCTCTCTGCCCTGCTCCAGGCAGAAGATGGAAAGATCCCTTTCTGGAGAAACTGACTCATCCAAGAGATAACAGCTCAGATTCTTACTTTTTAGAGCTCTCCAGTAAAATGCAGCTCAACACTTGATCAGTTTCCAGAGATGACCCCTGATCAGGCCCTCACTACGAACCTCTGGGTTTTAATTGGTTATTTAGTATCTCAATTTTAAAGATCAAAGACAGGATCGCTTTTGAGGAAACTTCCAACTTTAATGAAAGAATTTAAAAAAAAAAAGGAAAAAAAACCTGATAGTGTAAAGAGCAGAGAAATGGCAGGGAAATGAAAATTAAGTTAAAAAACAGAAACTTTTATATAATTCTAATCCTTTGCAGAGATAAAAAAATACATTGCATACCTAAAACAAGTACAAGTTGCCATGGAAACAGATTCATTAGTGAAGAGGAAAGAGATCTTGGAAATTAAAGACATAAAAGACAAAATAAAAATTAAAAAAATTAAACAGAATTTAGAACATAATGTTGAAATGAGAGAACTTTAGATCTCAAAAACAACAGAGAATCAACCCAGGAGATTGTGTGTGACTAAAGAAGTCTCAGAAAGAGAATAGAGGAAAGGAAGGAATATTATAAGAAAAGTTTCAAGAATAAAAGGTCATGGGCCTCCAGACTGATAAAAATCCATCTTGTACCCAGAAAAAATTGACTTTTCAAGAACTGAATCAGAACCTATCCTGTGAAATGTTAGGACAAGTAGATCCTAAAATCTTCCAGAGGGAATCCATTCAAAGGCCTTGAATGGCATTAGACTTCTCCATATCAATACTGGATGGTGAAAGAAAAAGAGCAATACCTTAAACTTGCTAAAAGAAAATGATTTTTAACTAGAATTCAATTTCCATCTCAATTAAAAAACCCACTGTAAAGAAAAAATTCAAATCTTCTCAGGCATATAATAACTCTAAAATTCTACCTCCTGTGCACCTAATTTTGGCAAGTATCTCAGGAAGATACACTTTGCTAGAACAAGGACATAGTTTAAGAAAGTGGAAGAAATCAGATCTGGGAATCAGGGGATCACATGATACAGAGGCACAGCCAGAGGGATCCCAGGGAGAGCATGTCCAGTGTGACAAGGAGTGGACAGCTTCAGAAGGGACAGCACCAGGGGAAAAAACAAAATGAATATCTGATTGGCATAAACATTTGGAAAGTAGTATTAAAAATGTGTGTAACAGGTGTGTTGTTACATTTGCCAAAAAAGAGCAAAAGGGAAAAAAAACCCCAAGCAGATGAAAAGTAAAGAAGGCAATGGTTAACTACTGGAAAAACAAAAAACAATATTCAAGAAAGGAAACGAAATCATGGTATACTTCTTGACTAATGGGTGAAAAATGAAGATGTACATAGTTATTAAAATGCAAACATTGATTATTGAGTTAACCCAAAGTTGTGACATTTGGAAGCACGGGTAGGCACAGTGGGGTGTAAGAGACCTAAATCCTCACTTACCGTAATGTTTAAAAAATTGCCATGTCAAAGAATAGCAGCATATCATATTATTTAGAAATATGGATGCAAATGCCAGAAGAAAAATTAAAGGAAGTGAAAAATGTTTTCCTCTAGGAATAGGACAGGGGACGTAATAGGGAACAGATATTCTGCATTATCTCAATTAATTCTCACAACTGTGACTGAAGCTCTTTTGCTCTCCTTGTTTTACAGATGAGCAAACTCACAGAGGGATGCAACTTGCCTAGGATCGTATAGCCAGCAGCTCATGAGTGTGGAATGGGGATTCAAATAAGGTCTAGGAGACTCCAAAATCCATGTGCTTAACCATGAAGTTTTACTACCCCTTCTCTGCTTCTTCATTAAGTATTTTTAGTGCCTAATTGCCCATGCTCTCTGCCAGGTGCAGTAAAGGAGGATTACACAGGTGCAATATGAGCCATGATTCTTGTTGAAATCAGCACGTCAAAAATAAGGCTAATGAGCACGTGAAAAGATGCTCAACATCACTAATCATTAGGGAAATGCAAAACTGCATTAAAATATCACCTCATATACATTAGGATGGCTACTATGAAAAAAACCAGAAAATAACAAATATTGGCAAGGATGTGGAATAACTGGAACACTCATGCACTGTTGGTGGGAATGTAAAATGGTGCAGCTGCTGTGGAAAACAGTATGATGGCTCTTTAAAAAATTTTAAAAAAATAGATTTCTCATATAATTCTGCAATTCCATTCCTGGATATATACCCCAAAGAATGGAGAAAACAGGATCCTGGAGAGATGTTTGTATACCCATGTTCATAGCAGCATTATTCACAATAGCTAACATCTGGCAGAACCCAATGAATGAATGGATGAACAAAATGTAGTATATACACACAATGGGATATTAGTCTTAAAAAGGAAGGAAATTCTGACACATGCCACAACATGGAGGTGCCTTGAGGACATTATGCTAAGTGAAATAAAGCCAGTCACAAAAGGACAAATATTATATGATTCCATTTATATAAGCTACTTAGAGTGGTCAAATTCATAGAGACAGAAAGTAGAATGGTGGTTGCCGGGGATGTAAAGGTGGGCATTTCTCAAAAAACTGAGAAATACAGAAAAATAAAAATCACTCACTGTTTGCCACACTTCTACCCTGGTTCTTTTTAAATCTATTTTTCTTACTCAAAGAAATACATGTTTATAGTTTAAACATTCAAATAGTACTACAGGTTCGTAATAAACAAGAGCGGTCCAACTCCCCTCCTCCTAGCCCTGTGCTCCAGTCCTTTCAGATGTTGTTTCTGGTCTTTGTATTTCTCAATAACATGCCTAAATGTATTTTCTGGCTCCTTGTATTATTTATTTATTATTTGTTGAGTTTATTGCTATGAAAAATAGAGATTAGATCACTTACAGGGTCTTCCTGACACCGTGCTCACCTTCCCCACCTATATGTACAATTCACCTTCCCTGTCCTCATGGAAATAATATTACTCTTTTAGTTAAGTCACAGGTCAGTATTTATGTTATGATTATGTAAATATTGTTTATGTAATGTGCTAGGGCTACTTTTTTTTTCTTTAATTCCTTATCCTCCTTCACCCTCACCACCCAACCCCAATCTCATCCTGGAGTTCACAGTTATCTCATTTTTCCTTTGCTTGGTTTTCTAAAATCTATCTCCTGGCTCTTTCTCCAACTCTTCTCTCAGTAAGATAGTTTCTCAGCTCTACCTTTTCCCCTTGTTGACATTGCTCCAGAGCCCTTCAACCTGCTCAGGTGGCTATTCTGCTTGGTCACTCACTTGTCCTCCTAGGTTTTCTTATCTCCATCATCTTGGGGATTCTGGTCTCCAATTTCCTGTGTTAGACCAACTGTGTCCTGGATCCCATATCTTTCTGTCTCTTAGTTTATTTCTTTGCTTTGATTGAACATACTACCTATGACATTTCTGAGAAACAATGAAAGAGAAATGATTTTTTGAGTTGTGGGATGAATATTAAAGTCACTACCCGGGAAGGATCATTGTGCCTCTATCTGTATGAGGGATTCCCCTTGCACTTCTCAACCATAGACAGCTCTGTTCTGTCTCTTGAGCTCTTGGTGAACCCATCCCCCAGGACAACATTTCTATGTGTCTTGGTCTGGCACAAGGTGACTACCTATTCCCAGCAAATGCCAATCAACACCTGTCTTAATAATACCTTAGCTTCAACACCCAAGGTTTAAGTTGCATTAATCACTTAATAAAGAAACCTTCACAAATGCTAATTACTAACCTAGTCCTTAAACCATACTCATTTAAAGAGGTGGCATCTTAGAAGTTACAGTGTTTATAGTCATTCAACAAACATTTATTGTCAGCCATATAGAAGACACCATGCAAGGGCTTTACATGGGTTATCCAATGTAGTCCTCATGAAGGTCCTGTGAAGTGGGAATTATTGCCATTTGTGAATGAGTTTCAGAGAGATAAAACTTCTCCAGCCATTCATTCAACACATTTACTGAGTATCTACTATGTGCTAGAAAATGAGGATACCGCAGGGGGCAGAGGCACATGTCCCTGACCTCTTGGAGTTTCTAGTCTAGCCTAGTCTGTTTCCAAGGGTAACAGATATTAAATAAATAATTTCACAAATAGTCTATTAAATACATTTGAGACAAGTGTCATGAAAAAGAAGTACAAGATGCTATGGGAATGTATAAAGGCCATAAGCTGTCCTAGTCTGGGGCTCAGAGGTGGTTTTTCTGAAGCAGTGCATTAAGTCTGCAGGATAAGGAAGAGTCAGCCAGATGAAATGAAGTCTACGGTTGGAGAGAGGGAGGGAACAGCATGAGCAAAGGCTCAGGGGCAGGAAGGGGCTTTGCATATACGAAGAACTGAAAGGCCAATGCGGCTGGAACAAAGAATGGAATGGTGTGGCATAAAGTGCAGCAGGGACCGGGTCAGGGAGAAGACCATAAAGCATTTGTGCACGCTGTTAAAGAATCTGTATGCAACCTTGGTGGACGTGGGAGACATGACTGCTGAACTTGAAGCGCATCCCTGGAGATGGGGATAAATGGAGGGATGCGGGATGTGTGAAGCAAGAGGCTTGTTCATGGTCAGAACCGGCATCTGAACCCAGCTCTCATGACAAGTCTGCTGCTCTTTTTGGTACACAAAACCCGTTTCTTTCTCTGTGTGAGAATGAACAAGGTGCCTGCACATTTTTCTGTCCCAGTGCAGTGTTTGAGGATGCTAAGTTACACCCCAACAGCTGTGCAAAATCTGTTTCTCTCTTGTGTAGTGATGGAGGCTATACATTGTGTTGTGAAAGGTGTCACTCATTTGGGAAATTAGAACAAAACATAGTCATTGCCTTTAACAGCACACAGCCTAATAGAGGCAATAGGAATGTAAACAGGGTCCCAAGCCAAAACTTAACATGAGCAAGTTATAGAATCATATACAATTCTTAGGGTCATAATTCTAGGGCTACATGTTTTGACTGTTTGACCACACTATATGCAGCAGTATCGTTAATGGTCCTGGATCTAGGCAGCATTTTCCGAAGTAGACTTAAAATAACATCACTCTTAGACTGGTCTGATTCTCTGTTTTGGCTAGAAATTGTGTTCCTCAAGAATAATAACACATTTAAAATCATCCTTATTTTTTAAGTTCAGATATTCTGCTAAATCATTGATCTCCATGAATTCATTGGTCAATGTTTTAAAACTTTCTCACAAACGGGCTTATTGGAAATGGAGGCAGAAAATAAGGTGTTCAATAATATGACCACATGGTCTAAATTTCCTACAATACGCTTAGTTTACATGTGCAACACCTTTGTCAGACATATACCCAATTTTGGTTTGAAAATAGCATTTACTTCCCAGGAGTGGTGTGTAGGAACTTAAGGGTCCTAGTATGTATGTCTCTAGTGGAAACTTTGGGGTTCAGTTTGAAAAGGCAGTGTATCTCATGTGGATCCCTGTGATTCTCAGGGATTCTATACTAGGCAGTCCCTTGTGGATGCCTGGGGAAGTCGGGCTGTGATCCTTACAGACCTTCTCTGAGCTGCCATACAGATGGGGCAGAGGGTGAATGATGGAAAAAGAACAAATGTTGCTGATGGTCCATGATTCGTCCGCAAATATTGTAAAACCCTGTACTACCTGGCTGATGCTTTAACAAAATAGCTTCAGGGACATTAAAAAAGTAGTGTTTCCTGGTGTGCTGGTAAATATTTATTGATACAAAGATTGTGTAATCACAATTTAAAATATACAGTACTCTTGATTGTAAATTCCTTATAACCAATTGATCCCCACAGAATGCTCTTGTTGACTTTTGTTTGAGGCTCTTGTATCTATAGTGTATCCAATCTATTATTGCAATTGATGGACAAGTGCCATTCTGATAAGAATGTGGGCTGAGATTTCCCTTTATGTTAATGAGTAAGAAGAAAGGGAAACAGCAGAGCTAGACACTGGGCCTTCAATCGTTTGTTAACAACACGAGCAACCTTTTTGTTGAACTGGATAATAGTTTTTGAATACTGGAAGAATATTTCCTCAGTCTTTTTCTGTTATTCACCATGCATTGGCTACAGTCACATTTTAGAATTTAACCTGCATTATTAGCATTTCTCCATCACTTTTTATAAGTCTAGACTGGGGATTATTAAACTGTGGTCTAGGGGCCATATCTGGTCCCCTGACCTGTTTTCGTACATAAAGTTTTCTGGAACACAACCATGTCCACTAGTTTTATATATTGTATATGGCTGCTTTTGTATTACAATAGCAGAAGCAGAGTCGAGTAGGTTGGACAGAGATTTAATGGACGCAAAGTCAAAATTATTTAATATCTGGCCTTTTGCAAAATAAGATTTACCAAGCCTTGGTCTGGGTGGTCAACAAAACAATAAATCAAGCCTTGATCTGTAGTGTCTGCCAATTTCCATGGTGTAAATACTCCCATCATGGCCAATTTCTATCTACCAACATGACACAGCAAAACATAGAGTTGGGAAGAGATGTGTAAAGTACACCGTTATAGAGTATTCTCACTCTATAGCTACAGTGGCTATAAATAACTTCCAGAGCATAGACAATAGTAAAATGTAGTCATAATTAAGAACTGGTAAGTTTTGAGTGTTTATTACCTTTGTTTCTAAATACAATTTATTTAATTTTAAGTTTATATTTTAATTTCGAATAATGGCTGGGTTTAACAAGTGGTTTGCAAAATCTCTGAGAACTTAACAATCAGTTATCATGAGTTGGCACTATTGCTTTCCTTTGGTGCCCAGCTGTCTTCTTTTTTCAGCCATTTCCCTGTCTCCAGGAGATAATCCTTTTTTTTCTTCTCAGCCTGTCTGCTTCCCAAAGTATCCTTTGTTCTTTTCATGGCCCTCTGGCTACGCAGGGACCCCACTTTTTGCCAAACTAATCTTTTAAAACATATGTCCCACAGAGTACCATTCCCTTTCATCTGCTTCCCATCAATACTCTTATTTCTACAATAGGGTTGATACCAAATGGCCAGCAACAATTTGTAATAAGCTGTAAATGATTAATGGCCTGGAAACACTTGCATTTTAAAAAAAGGAGTCTTGTTGACCCAAAGGTTATAGGGTTTGAATGTCTGGCAACATTGCAGGTGTGAGGAACGTCTTTGGAATTCCTAGTTCCCCCCAAAAGGTTACTGTCTTCTTCAGTGACAAACAACCAACCCAAGCGTGTACCCTGATGCTCCTCATTACCCCTCAAAACTTTTTCCTTTTCAATCTTTTTAGTTTTAGCTCTTTATTTCCCCTCCACTTTCATTCCTTATTTAAACCTCTCAATTGTAACTGAAGCAGATGTTATATGGACTTGGGGAAAGGGATCAATAAATCATTCAGTTGTTTGTGCTTATCTAGAACTGTCAGCCCCTGAATTGTGTGGTCTTGGCTGGCATCTGAGCACACCTGGTGCATCAGCAGAATCAGTGTTCTCTCAGTTCCTGGTTGGCTCTACTGTCTGGCACCATTCGGCTGTTTGTACTTATCTGGAACTGCCAATGGGAAGATCACATGGTCATTGAGAAACCGCACCCTGAAGAGATGGCTAAAAGCCTGGAGGGCATGCCCATCACAGCCTTGCCGGGAGTGTGAAAGGTGGTGTGAAGACCCTGGGGCTCACAGGACTCCCTCACCACGGGGCACAGTGTAAGAAGGTCCACGGTGAAAATGCAGTAGGAGGCAGTTACATCAGGCTCTGGATCGATGATATCAAGGAACAACCCAGGCTGAAGGAAAAGGCGTTTGTGTTTCAGGAAAGATGTATTGAGCCTCATCCATGCTCCAGACTTTGTTTAGGCCCTGGGTTACAGCATGGAATGGAATGAAACCCCTGTTCTTTAGTTTCTTACATGTTGAGTGGGTGAGACAGAAAGCAGCAATATGGTAAAGAGGGGGGAACAGGGGAAGAATGGTAGGAGATCAAGTTAGAGAGGGGAATGGGCTAGATCATGGAGCAACCGGGGCAAGATGTCAAGCCCTTGGAAGGTTTTGAGCAAGAGAGTGTTATGTTCTGACTTACGTCTTGAAACACTCTAGTTGCTGTACAAGGAGACCAGGTCAGAGGCTATTGCAGTTGTCCAGGTGAAGGTGGCCAGGTAGCGATGGAGGATGAGAAGTAGAAAATTCTGTGAAGGCAGAGCTGACAGGATTTACAGATGGATTGGCTCATGAGAGGAAAAGAGGGACTCACGGATGATGCCAAAGTTTTTGACCTGAGAAACTGGAAGAATGGAATTTCCACTTACTATGATGGGAGAGGTTGTGAAAGGATGACTTAGGGGTTGGAGAAAACCAGGAGTTTGGATATGGGCCTTAGATATTGCCATGCAGATGTTGAGTAGACAGCTGCACATATGAGTTGGGAGTGCAGAGGGAGAGGCTGGGGTTCTGGGTATCAGTATATGAATCATCTGTGTCCACATGGCATTTAAAGGCATGAGACCAGGTGACCCCCCTTATAGAAAGATTAGATCCAAAAGAGTAGTGGTCTGAGGACTGGGCTTTAGGCCCTGATGCTCAGAGGTGAGGACCCAGGAAAGGAGACACAGAGAATCCTCTTTGTCAGAGCATTACAAAAGGGCTATTTGGAAATAGTTCAGGTGGTGACTGGGTGAAAAGCCCTTCGAACAGCCTCAAGGACCCAGGCTGGTGGACTGCTGGCTGAGTCCTGTTGTGCCTCAGAGGATATTGTAATATTTGGAAAAATTTCTCCAAGTCAAATTTAAATTAACATGAATGTCATATGGCTTTTTGGTACGTCCTACAGTCAAGCAAATAACAATTGGATAGGGTAGCTGCAGGAAGACTGGGTGTCTCTACAGTGGTCAAGTTGGAAGAACAAAGAATGAGTGATTGATCTTTTGCTACTCCCCAAGGGGAGAAGCCACTGATAGCTTCCTTGGAAGCACTTTGTATCTCACCTGCCCCAGAGTAGATTAAATATTAAGTTTCCTCCCTTCTTTCAAGTCCTAGTGCTGCCATTGATAGTGCTGTGACTTCAGGAAAGTTGCTTAACTTTTCCAAACCTCTATTTCCTCATTACTAATGAGTAATAATTCCCACCATAGGGTGTTTATAAAGATTAAATAATTTTAAATATGTTGAAGCATGTAGTGAACTGCAAAGCAATATGCAAATATAAGAGGTGGAAATGACTATGCCTATAATTACGTGGCTCAATTTACACAATAATAGATTTTCACACTTTGCATAAATAATGAGGGTTTTTATACTCAAGTCACTGAACTTACTATCTTCAGGATCCAAAATCCCCAAACAGAAGGCATCCCCTACTGTTAGCTCAAATAGCTCTTGCTGGTTTAGAGAGTTAATGCAAGCCCCACTGCCTCCTGAGCTGGAAACATGAAACAGAAGTTTCAGTTCCCTAATCAATCCATTCTTTCTTCCTCTGGCTTCTGATAGGCCTCCTCCTTATCTTTGTAAACCCTGTAGCTGGTTGCTAGTTGAAAGTGCCTCTGATCTCCCTCTTCTGCCTCCCATGATGTTGATAAAAAGCACGAGGGCACATGCAGGATGAAAACGATCGTGGTCCTGCCAGCCTGAATTATTAAAGCATTTCAGTCCTAAGTATGAGGTGTGTATATGTTGGGGTGTGGAGTGAGTTGTGGAGATGAGAGACAGCTGAATTACATAAAGTTGAGAAGATCTGAGTTCTAGTCTTGAAATTCACAAGCCATCTCTATACAATAGTTCCGTTACTCAGTAAAGTAAAAGCATTGGATCTAAGCTTTAAGGACCCTTCTAGTTCTTTCTGATTGGAATTGTGTGACTTCATCTTTTGTGGGTTAGAAACTCATCACTCTGTCCAGTTATTTCTATATTATGCCACCAGATGGCAATGTTTCCTTAACCCCAAAGAAAGTTTTCATTCTGGTAAAAAGTCAAGTTTTGTTGCCAACTTTTCCCCCTCTGAACGTGCAAAAGAATGATTTTCCGAAGCTGTGGAGGAAAGAAAGAACTCTCCTTCTGAACATCTCAGGTGGTTTATGCTGGAAACAGACAGGACCCTGTTTAGAGAAGATCTCTCTTTTCTTCGTGGACTGGGAACTCCAGTTGGAATGATGTCTCCTGTGATTGCGTATGGTGGGAGGTGGGAGATGTTGGAATTGGCGTGTCCTCAGGAGGCTTGGGGGTGGGGGAGATGTGCCCTAGCTGGTGGGCCTGCATGAGCCCTGCAAAACTCTGACTTATAGAGGGGCATCAGATGCCAAGTTTTACCAGACCATGCAGAACTAGGAATTGCCAGATGCACTCATAGGGCAGCTAAAATGGTCCTGGCAGAATCAGACTCTTTCGCTCATAAAGGTCAGAGACGCAAGAAAGCGACATAAAGTCCAGCCCTTTTCTTGTGCAGATGGGGAAATTGAGGCCTAGAGCAGGTCAGCTGTCCTGATTCTATCTCCTTGCCAAGTTACTTTGTATTTAAACATTTCAAGTAGACTTTTCAATCATCTCATCTTGCTGTGTTCAGCTAGCGCACCTTGTTAAGCCTGTTGGCCTCCGGGCCTGCCAAGCCCCTGCATCTATACACACCAGGGCATGCTGCATGCGCTCAGTGAGACTTCAACAGCTGACTGATTCGTTCAAACCTATCAAACAGCAGACTTAGCTAGTTGGGGAGAAAAGTCATTTAAAGTAATTGCTTATTAATCTGCAAAACAAGTCTCATAGCAGGTTTTTATTTTATTTTATTTTTTTTTTTGCTTTTAACAACGATATAATAACAACAAACATTTGTTTAGTGTTTCCTGTGGACCAGGCTCTGTGTTAAGCACTTAACATCACTATATCATGCACTTTTGCTAATAAAGCTGTGAAATAGTTATTACTATTTCTGCTTTACAGCTGCAACAGAGACTCAGAGAGGTTAGGTAACTTGCCCCAGGTCACAGAGCTGGAAGGAGCAGAGCCAATATTCACACCCTGATTTGCGTAATTCCAGATTTGATCTTCTAGCTTCTATGCTGTGCTGCCTCTTCATGACAGTTTTTCTCATGTACAGGATCTGATGCAGAAACTTATCGGAGTTTCTTACCGGAGCACCAGTCACCTCTCATCATTTTCCTGTTTTGACGTGAAGGCTCAGTGATAGTGAGCAGGCTCAGGGTCTACAGAGTTGGTGATATCAGCATCACACAGGACATTCAGAATGTTGACTCCAGGGATGTTGAGAGATACTCCTGCACAAAGCTGCCAGCACCCGTGTCCAAGAAACACTCAGAATCTAGGTCTCCTTGTATATTTTCCCCACTACCTGCAAAGGTAAAGAGGAACAGGCAGTGCTGGGACCGAGGGAGCGACAGTCCTAATGGAAGCTAGTGTGTTGAGAGTCTCCTCTGTGTCATGCTCTGAGCGACATGTTTTATATGCACGATCTCATTTAGACCTTGTGACAGCATGTTGTAGCAAGGACCCCATCATCACAGGGGGCAAATGTCTGCAGTGCAGAAAGTCGTCCTGAAGAAATGGATGTCAGATAAAAACAGTCTTCATAAATCAATGATCCTGTTTTACCTCAAAAGTGCATGAAATGGAAATGGAAATATCTTGTGAAGATGTAGACAAATGACGGTCATTGCCCAGAGCAGTAGTTACTGTCAGAAAAAGAGATAAGGATTTCCAGTCTGACAGACTGGATTCCTGGCTCAACACCACCCCCTTCTAACCATGTGACCTTGGGCAAATTACCTAACCTTTTCTGAGTCTCAATTTCCTCATCTTCCAAAAGGGGATAATATCATATATGTTCCAAGATTGCTGTGAGTATTAAATGAGATGATGTATGTAAAGTACCTGGCCAGCAGTCTCTGGCACATAGTAAGTATTCAATAAAGACTAATGGTGGAGATGAGTATAGGGGCTACTAATGCCCATCCTTACTCCAGAGACTTCTTTCTGACCATCATGAGGCACTTTTGAATATCTAAACCCATTTAAAGCCCACTTTTCTCTATGGCTGGCCATTTCTGCCTATTGACAGCTAATTTGCCTCATCCTACAGGACACCTTCCATGTTTCCCCAGACTCCAGAAATCAGGTATTAAATTATCAGGGCTTCAGGAGCCATGGTCTATGATGAGTTTACTACCTGTGCCCAATAAATGTTTAAGAAATAAATAAGAGCCAATATAACTATAAAGACCAAGAGCCAAAATAAGTCTCTTTGCTTGCGCTTTAGATCTTAAGAGTCCTTTATATTCAAGCTGCTCAGAGTCAAACGTGTGCCTAATAAACATTCTACAAAGGTCCTGGCGTGGTGTGACCAAAGGAAGAGAGAGGGCTCCAGTGTCTGTCACTGGGAGACCAGATGGACAGCCACGTGGGGCAGGGCCACTGGTGCCACATGTCCAGGTCTGTTAAGCCCTATGAAAGACACTTGAGTCAAAATGTATTTCTATCTAAGAAAGAAGACTATAAATGGAAAAGGGAGAGGGGAGAAGACCTCTCAAGGGCATCTCCCTCTAGAAGTAGAGATTGTGAATCTGCAGCAGAAAGGTTTTAAACAAGGGATAGCAGAATGCCTGGATGGTGTTCTAGTGCCTGAATGGAAAAAGGCCACAATGACCAACAAATCCCACCTACATCCGCCTTCCTCACTGCCTGAAATCCCACCATTAGGATTTTTTTCCTTTTGGGTTAGCAACCAAGAAAGAGTAAAGTCTGGAAGACTCTTATTCCACATCTTCACTTTGCAGCGCCTCTTTTTTTTTTTTTTTTTGAGATAGAGTCTTGCTCTGTCACCCAGGCTGGAGTGCAGTGATGCGATCTCAGCTCACTGCAAGCTCTGCTTCCTGGGTTCACATCATTCTCGTGCTTCAGCCTCCCGAGTAGCTGGGACTACAGGCACCTGCCACCACTCCCAGCTATTTTTTTTTGTATTTTTAGTGGAGACAGGGTTTCACCGTGTTAGCCAGGATGGTCTTGACCTCATGATCCGTCCGCCTTGGCCTCCCAAAGTGCTGGGATTACCACCTCTTCTTAATTACAAACATAAACAAAAACTAACAACTTTCTAGTTTTTTCTTTTTCTTTTTTTTTAAATTACAAAAGAGATCCATATTCGTCAGAGAATAATTGGAAAAAAGAGATAAGCAAAATCAGAAAAATAAATTCAGCCTGTAATCACCCAGAGATAACAATTATTAAAATTTAGGTATTCACTTTGTTATTTCCTTTTATAACAAAACTTTTTTTTCTTGTGAAATTTAATAGAATACAATTGAACTATTTTTTCCTTTATGGTTAATGATTCTTGTTTCTTATTTAGGAAATCATTTCCTGAGTCATAAAGAATTCTCTCATATTTTCTTCTAAAGCTTTATACAGTTTTGCCCTTCAAATAAGGTTAATAACCCACCTAGAATTGATTTCTGTGTATGGCATGCAGTAGAGACAAGTTCTACTTTTTTCTCTCAAATGAATATTCAGTTGGACCAAGGCTGTCCTTTCTCCACTACTTTGCAGTTTCACTTTTTGTTGAAAAATCAATTGTTCATACATGGGTAGATCTCTTTCTGGGCACTCTTGGAGTCTATTGGTCTGTCTATAAGTTGAACAGGATCAGACAGGCTGTGCTTTGTTTCAGGTAACAAAGAACCCCAACATCTCACTGATGAATACACTAAAGTCATTTTTGTTTTCCATTGGCAGTTCACTTCTGATGCAGGAGATGCATCAGGCCAACCGCCCTTTGCAAGGTGAAGTGTCTGCACCATTGGAAGTACTCTCCATCCAGGGGAGAGAGACTGGAAATGGTCCATGAGGTTTTCATCGACCCAGAATGAAAGCATCACCCATCATTCCCTTCTTGTTACAGCCTATTTGTCAGAACCAGTCAGAGTTCCACCCACCTGCAAAAGGTTGTGACGTGCTGTTTGCGATTTGCCTGGAAGGAGGGAATACCCAGATACAGGAAAATGCTAGTGACGTGCACTTCCATCTAACTATCTTTGAATGAAAATGACAGTCTTAATTACTGCAGTAAGATAAGCAGACTCTATACCTGGTAGAGCAAGTCCTCTTACCCCATTTCTTCTTCAAGAAGGTCTTGGCTAGTTTGGAACCTTGGCAATCCCATATAAACTTTAGAAAATGCTAGTTAAGTTCTTTAAAAATCCTGCTGAGACTTTTATTGAATCCATAGCTTCATTTAGAGAGAGCTGACATTTAAATTAGGGAGTGCTCCAAGCCACTAACATAGAATTTCTCTCTTTTACTCCAGGTCTTCTTTAATTTCTCTCGAGTGTTTTGTAATGTTTTGCGCAAAGTTCTTGCACATCTTTTGATAGATTTCCCCCTAGGTTTTGGATATTTTTAAGATGCTAGTGTAAATGTTATTGCTATATATTTTTCATTTTACAAATATATGTGTTTAGTATATAGAAATTTAATTCATGTTTCTGTATTGACTTTATTGAGTAACCTTATGAAACTTTCTTAAATTCTAAAAATTATCCACAGCTTCCCATAGATTTTCTATGTAGGTAATAACATAATCCACAAAAATGACACTTCAATTTTTTCCTTTCTGTTTCTTATGTCTTTATTTCTCTTTCTTGCATTTCCCATGTGGGGTCCCTAGACACTGTTGAATAGATGTCGTGATAGTGAGCATCCCTGTTCTGTACACAGCCTCGAAAGGAAAATTTTCAGAGTTTTGTTTTAAACAATCTGGTTGTTATAGGTTTTATTGTAGCAGCTCTTCACCAGATTACCTGCATGTTTTCTTTTTTCTAGTTTCTAAGACTTTTAATCCATTAATGAGTGGATGTTGAATTTTAACAAATGCTTGTCTCTGCATGTATTGAAATGACTATATGACTTTTCCCCAATTGATCTGTTAAGTTGGTAAATTACACTGATATTCCAAAGTTAAAGCAATTTTTACACTGGCACCCTCAAGTAAGCCAAATTTGGACATGATGTATTTTTAAATATATATTGCTGGTGTTGGCCTGTTAATATTTTATTTAGAATTGTTGAGCCTATGTTCAAGAATAAAATTGGCTTGTGATTTTCCTTCACATACTGTTCATATTGGGTTTTGGTATCAAGATTACTCAAGCCTCACAAAATAACATAGGGAGTCTCATTTTTTCTATTTTCTGGAAGAGTTTGCATAAGTGTGGCATTATATCTTCTTTATCTCATAAAATTTGCTTGAGCCATCAAATCTTAACATTTTATGACAGGTTGATTTTTTATTAAATCAATGATTTTAATAGTTATAGGATTATTAGGATTTTTTATTTCTTCTTTTGTTAATTTTAGTAAGTAGTGTTTTCCTAGGAATTTGTCTATTTTATCAAAATTTATAAATTAATTCACAGAGTTGTTTATAATATCTTCTAATTATCTTTCTAATGTCTGCAACACATGTAATAATGTTATTTTTGCTTATAAATTGACAATTTATAATTGCGTATACTTATGGGGCACAAAACAATGTTATGATTTATGAAAGCAATGTGGAATAATTAAATCTAGCAAATTAATATATCCATCACCTTAAATACTCATCATTTTTTGTGGTGAAAACATTTGAAATTCACTTTTTTTCACAATTTAAAAATGCACAGTACACTATTATTATCTACAGGTGGTTCCTGACTTCTTATGATGATTTGAATTATCACTTTTCAACTTTACAATAATGTGAAAGGAATATGCATTCAGTATGCTCTATGACTTATGTTGGGATTATGTCTGGATAAACCCATAGTAAGTTGAAAATATCAATGGGCTCATCCAGATATAACTCCATCATAATTTGAGAAGCAGCTGTATATTTATCATGGTGTGCAATAAATCTCAAAAAAAGACTTATTCCTCCCGTCTGAGATTTTGTACCCTTTGGCCATCACTCCTTCATTCCCCTCACCCACAGCCCCTGTAACTACCATTCTACTCTCTGCTTCTATGGATTTGATTGCTTGAGATTCCACATGTAAGTGAGAACATGTGGTGTTTGTCTTTCTGTGTCTGGCTTATTTTACTTAGCATGATGTTCTCCAGTTTCAGTGATGTTGTTGCAAATGATAGAATTTCCTTCTGTTTAAAGGCTGAATTATCCCATTGCATGTATATACTACATTTTATTTATCCATTCATCCATTGATAGACACTTAGGTTGATTCCATAACTTGGCTAGTGTAAATAGTGCTGCAGTGAACATGGGAGTAAGGACATGTCTTAGACAATCTGATTTCAATATTTGGATAAACACCCAGAAGTGGAGTTACTTGGTCATATGATAATCTAGTTTTAGTTTTTAAAGTAACTTTCAAATAGTTTTTCATGATGGCAGTACTAACATACACTCCCAACAGTGTACAAGGGTTCTCCTTTCTCCACAGATGTTCTCTTTTTCATTACTGACATGAGTTATCTGTGCCTTTCCCATTTTTTGTCTTCATCTGTCTCAGCAGAAGTTTATCAATTTTATCATTTAAAAGGTAAAAATTGTTACCTTTTAAATCTTGTCTATTGTATTTTTTTGTTTCATTAATTTTTGCTCTGATTTTTGTACTTCCTTTTTTCCATATTTTTAGGAGATGACTTTGCTGTTCTTCTAACTTCTCTTTCTAGGACTCCTAGAAATATGTTAAGTCTGCTCATTGTATTTTTCTCACCTTTATATTTTCCATTGTTTTATCTCTTTCTTATTCATTCTGGGTAGTTTCTTCTAATCTACCTTCCAGTTCATTAATTATCTCTTTACCTGTGTTGAATTTGCTATTAAACCTATCTGAATGACTTTTTCATTTTTTATTGGGTTTTTAAATGTTAAAATTCTCATTCCTATTTGGTTCTTCCTCAAATTTGCAATGATTTTGTTTCAGCTGATTGCCAAAACGTTTTTAGTTCAAGTTCATCTCTTTGAGCATAGTGAGCACTGTTGTTTTACAGTCTTTATGTAAATACCTTCTCTTTTATTAATCTTTCCACGTTTCTGGTGGAGGGACTGGCTATGAGAGACAAAAACTTTCTTTCAGGTGCTTTTAGGACTTACCCATATTTCTTTCATGGTGTCTATTATTTTATTATCTCATTATTTAGATACTTTTCTCCTCTACTAAACTAATGGTTCAAGGCTTATCAAAGATAAATCCTCTGTCTTGTTCATCTCTGTGTCTCTCATGGTATCTAGCAGACTTCCACCCAAGATATAAAGACACTATGACTAAGTGAATGATTTTAGTCTTACCTACCTGCCTGTTAACTTACCTACTTGCATCTCACTTATACTTCAACTTTTGGCTTCTTCCTCAACCTCAACTACCCCATTCTTCCCATGGCTCACTGTGCTCACTGGCCTCCATACTGTCCCTTAAATAAGGAAAGCTGCCCTAGCCTCAGGGCCTTTGCACCTGCTCTGCCTGCTGTTTGGAATGCTCTTCTTCCCATATACCCATCTGTTTTAATCCCTCATCTTTTAATCCCTCATCCCATCTCTTCAAATGTGATTTCTACAGAGGGTTCTCTGACCACCTTATCCAATAACCAGCATTCCGTCTCCCCTCTGCCATTCTCCATCATCTCACCATGCTTTATATCACATATCACTAAGTGACAGTATACTATAAACGTACCCATTTGTTTACTGTCTGCCTCCCTAACTAATGTATAAGCTCTCTGAGGGCAGGGACTCTGTTTTATTTGTACACCACAATTATCTCCAGTGCCTTGAATAGTGTCTGGCATGTAGAAGGAATTCAAGAAATACTTGTCAAGCTAGGTGCTGTGATAACTACTTTATATGAAATTAAGTATTTCTCCTCCAGCAGCTCTAAAAGTTTAGTATGTTATTATTGTCTCTGTTTTACTGATGAGTGAACTGAGGTTCAGAGAGGTTATTTAGCATACGTATGAAGACAGAATTAGTGAGTGATTGACCTGAGATTTGAACTCAACCTGTGCTGTCTAAAGCTAGCCAGGCAGCCTCACATACATGGCAAATGCCTACTGAGACATGAACATGCAGGTTGGGATCCCAAACTGTTGGGAAGCATAAAAGAAAAACACTAAAGATGTGGGGAGTGTAGGACTTTTTTTTTTAATAGGCCAGTGGCCCTCTCTGCAACCCTTTGAATGATCAGCTTGATCAGAGAATCCCCTACCCCTACCCCTGCCTCAGCCAGTTTCTATCTGGCTGTGTCATCAGCTGGCTGATCCAAACAGCAATGTCAACAAAAGAATGGTGATCAGGCACGTAAAGCAATGTGTCAGAAAGAAAGAAAAGGCAGCTCAGATGATGCAAGATCATCCAGATGTCAAGCACTGTGTGGTGGCACACTTGCCCGTTCATGTTGTTGATTTTTTAAACATTTGTGATAAGAACAAAAACTTAGTTGCTTCCCTCAGGTCCTCCCTGTATGGATTAGTGCAGACATCTGCCGCTTCAGGCTTTCTGATTGGTTCCCACTGGTTTGGGGCAAAACCGGAAGCTTCTGAGCCAAGTGCAGGGGCAGAAGAGCTCCCAAGAGCTCCTGGGAAAACTAGGAAGGACAATCAAGAAACCACCGGCAGCTCCATTTGCAGGATCTCATCCCATCAGGGGCTGTCTCAGGAGGGGGAATTGGAATACCATTCACCTGTCCCCTTTGCAGATACACCAATGTCTCGTTCAAGAACAAGCAGAAAGGAAACACCAGATTGCCCAGAGCACAGGATTAGGACACACCACACAGAGCCAACTCAGCGTATCATTGTTTGCATTGATCATCTGGGGATGAAGCAGGCTCCGTTCTGGAAGGGGCAACCTGAATAGAGAAGAGTCTGACATTGGAGTCAAGCAGAACTTGGTTGGAATTTGGCTCATTGCTGGGTGATCCAGAGACAGTTATTTAATCTGAGAATCAGATATCTTGTCTGTTAAATGGAAATTATAGTAGCCACTTCACAGGATTGCTGTAAAGAGTACATAAAACCAGGTACCTGCAATGTATAGTGCTAAGCCTGACACGTAGCAGGGTGTTAGTAAGTGGTACCTCTGACTGGGGATGGAAGCCAGAGGAGCTGGACCTTTATTTGACTGGCCAGAAGCCAGCTCTCTAGTCACCTTCCTGATCCTTCCTTCTTCTGTGTGTACACGGACAATGTTTTTCTACATAATGGAACAGTGGCCCTCAAAACTTGTTTTCATAAGAATTATCCAGGTTGCTAGTTATTAATACTAGTTATCCAGGTTGCTAGTTATTAATACTAGTTATCTGTGTTGCTAGCTAAAAATACACTCAGTTCCCATCCCCAGATTTTTCTATTTCAGTAGGTGGTAGTGGGTTCAGGAAATCTGTGTTTTTACCAAAGTATCCCCTACTATAGAATTAATTTTTGTGTTCCCCCCTCATTCATATGTTGACATTTAAACCTCCACTGTGATGATACCAGGTGGCTTTGGGAGGTGATTAGGTGATAACGATGAAGCCCTCATAAATGTGATTACTGACCTAATAAAAGAGACCCCAGAATGCCCCCTTGTCCCTTCTGCCATGTGAGGTCACGGTGAGAAGATGGCATCTATGAACTAGGAAGTGGGCCCTCACCAGACGCTGAATCTGCTGGTGCCTTGCTCTTGGACTTCCCAGCCTCTAGAATTCTGAATAATAAATTTCCGTTGCTTGTAGCCTAGTCTATGACATTCTTTTGTGGCAGCGTAAATGGACTAAGATGTGCACCCTCATGCCCTTTAGGGAATTGTGACTTTGAGAAATGCTGCCCTAGGATTTACAGAATGCTGACAAAGCTTTGTTGACTCAAATGCAAAATATTCTTATAAAGACCAAAATAGAAATGAATACTCCCTTGAACTCCTTTGGATGTGCACTTTGCGTAGTTATAGCACCTTTTCATCATGTGCAAATGAGACGCAAATGAATCCTTAGTTTGACCCAGAAAGAATGTCTTTGCTGGTAGGGACTACGGGAGAGAGAGAAGAGCCAGAATACTGTAGGAAAATTAACACCGGCCACGAGACAACTGGTTGCTAGCTCGGTAGCTGTGCAACATTGGCATGTTACTTGAACTTCTAGAAATCTGTTCTTTCTTCTGTAAAATGAATATGGTCTGGAAAGTAAAGACCAGTCACCTCCTCTATCAGTTGGAGTCTAATCAGGAAGAAACCTAAGTGTCTTCAACAGAGGGAATTTAATGCAGGGAATGGGTCACACCAGTGTTAGAAAAGCTGCAATGCCAAAGAGGGGATAAAGAGATAGCTCAAAGGTTAATAAGAGCAGAAAGTCACTAGTATTCATAGGCTGAAAAGAGAAAGGGAGGAGATAGTGTTCCCGGAATCCCTGATGGGCTTGTCTGGAGGGCGCTGGGGCCATGGAGGAAATGTAGTAGCTGCTGGAGGCATGCTCAGGGCAGAGAGGGAGCAGAGAAATACCCTGGCTTCTCATTTTCTTTCTCCAGTCCTTGCAGGCACCTCACTGGCTGAACTCAGGGGAGCATTTCTCCTCTACAGAACAGAGTCTCCTTGCATACAACAAGAGGGTCAAACAGAGGATGGCTTAATTTTTCCTTCCATTTCTCACTTCTATGATTCTCTCCCTTCAGGTTAAGTAAGTGAGGGTAAGTAAGCTGCCCAGTAAGTGAACAGTTTTCCAAACAAGCCCACAGCACCACCTCTATATACAGCAACTCTCTGTTTATCAGCACTGCATTAACCAGGACTCTCTATTAACTGGGACTTCCAGTTCCTTAAATTTCTTCATGGTTCCTGTGTACTCCCAAAGCATCTTCATCAAACAAACATTAAGTTACGCTTAGAGACCATTTCTCAATTGAATATAGATAAAAGATTCTAAGGCCTTGAAAAAAATTAATACATGCATATTAGATATAGCTATAAAAGCCAGACTATCTGATTAATTATGTGACTGGTGTTAAACTGTTTGGACAAAGGTTGGCTAAATTCCCTATGAATACTTACTTCCCTACTTCTGTGGACAAGGAAAAATAGACCAAAGGTTCAGATAAAAGCTTGATTCAATGTCATCTCTTTTCTCACGAATCTTGGTCATGTGTGGGAAGTGACCCAGATCTAGAACCTTAGCCTTTGGGACTTAAAAAAAAAACAAAAAACTGTTGAGTTGAATCATTAAGTGTTACTGAGGGACAGGAGAGAGGAGGGTAGCTTTCTTAGTTCCAAGACAAATTTTGTTAACAAAGATCTGTGGGTAGACTTGTGTCTGGGCAAAAGATCAGAAGATGTGCTGTTCTAGGCCTCTTTGCCCTCAGACCCATTCCCTATCCTTTCCCCTTCACTGTACCCCCTTATCTCCTCTTCTGCTGTCTTCCTCTGGGCCTGATGCTTGAGGATCCAGAAGTTTCTCAGGCTCCCATGTTCCAGCAATCCAGGCCTCCTTCCCAGTAAGGGATGAGTACAGGGGCCACACATAGCCCTGCAAGTTTTGTAATCCAACTTGAAATCCAATGGCAGAATGAATGGTTATATATGGTGTGACCCAGGACCACATGCAGTTGTATCACATGCACTTAGAAAAGAGCCCCATTTCTTGGACTCATTCCCAGACTCAATCTCTCTGAGGGTAGGACCAGGAATTCGGCCCTTTTCACAATCTTCCCAGGTGATTCTCTACATAGTATAATAATACAAACTCATGGAAATATATTTAATGAAAAATGAATAAAAGAATAAATGAAATAACAAATGGTGATGGCTGGCACAATGTGTGTATCCATTCTCCTACTGAGGTGCACTTACTTTGCTTCCAAATGTTCATTTGACAAGTAGTGATGCATTGAATATCCTTGTACATGTGAGCATGCAGTAAAGTTTCCATGGGCTTATATTTGCTGGATTATGGGCACGTGCATCTTCCTCTTTTCTAGATATTAACAAATCACTCTCCAAAGTATTTATAACAATCAACACTCCTGAACAAGCAGTGGGTTGGAATTCCTTCCTCATCACATCCTGGCCAACAATTATTATCATCAGATTTTTTAATTTTGCCAATTTGAAGGAAATGCAGTGGCTTCTCATGTGTTAGTGTTTCTGATGATCAGTGAGGTTGAGTGTCATTTTTTTTTTTTTTTTTTTTTTTTTTTGAGATGGAGTTTTGCTCTTGTTGCCCAGGCTGGAGTGCAATGGTGCTATCTTGGCTCACTGCAACCTCCGCCTCCCGGGTTCAAGTGATTCTCCTGCTTCAGCCTCCCAAGTAGATGGGATTACAGGCATGCACCACCATGCCTGGCTAAGTTTTGTATTTTTAGTAAAGACAGGGTTTCACCATGTTGGTCAGGCTGGTCTCAAACTCCTGACCTCAAGTGATCTGCCTGCCTCGGCTCCCAAAGTGCTGGGATTACAGGCACGAGCCACTGCACCTGGCCGATTGAGCATCTTTTTATGTGTTTAATGATGCTCATTTTTTATTGACTTCCTTCTGTGCTTTCTTTTTTTTAGCAGTGAATTTGAGTTGTAAGAATATGTATTTCTTTCACTCTGGGATTCACCTACATAAAGTAATTTTCACTTGAATGAAAAAGAAATCAGTTGTATAAACATCTGTTTTTTCTGAATTTTACTGGTGTAAAAATGGCCACTCAGCCCTGGAAGAAACAAAGGCACTTTGCCAACTGAAGTTGCAGATGGGAAATTTTTAGAAAGGTCCTGTTCAACCTCTGGAAGGGGAAGATCATATCTGAAAGTCAGGGTAATCCACCCAACCCAAATGTTTCTTCTACTATGGGTTCTGAGGATTCGTCCATGTGCTTCTTCTGCGTTGCTGCCATCTGATTTCCTTTGCTAGGCTCCTCTTGCAACTTGGGCTACAAAGAGGTGCTTCATAGTCCACAGTCTTTGCCTCACCTTCAGTCTTGAGGTGGTCCCCTAGGAGTTATTGGTAGTTGCCGCTGGAAGCCATTCTAACAAACCTGGCGAAGGCACAAAAGGATAGAAAGCCTTTAGCCAATATGGTGCCATCAAAAACAAACAGAGCACGCTGCCCAGTCCTCTTCTGGTTGCCTTTACTAATGCATCAGTCATACTTCTTCTGCACTCGATCTTAGCCAAGAGGTCGAGAAGCCATAGTCATAATTCTTCTGAAATTAATCTCTTCCTGCCCCACCTCCCCATCATCTGTCTTTGAATTCCCAGGGCTAGTACTCATAAGATTATCTCTTTCTTCTCCTTTATGAGGAGACCCATTCTTTTTCACAAACCAGCCACAAAAGCAAGTGTCATTACCCCCTACCGGAAATACCAGACAGAGAGTTCATCTGGGGTTAGTTTCTAATCAAGCCTCCTGCCCGGGTTTTTCCTGCTCCTGTCTTGAAGCGACCACAGGGGGAGAGCAGTTTCCAAATATGATCCCTCCTTTCCACTGTCACTTGTCCAACCCCGACCACTATCATTCTTTTATTTGCTTCTCCCCTGAGCCAGCCAAGAGCCTAGGTCAGTGACAGGGCAGGCAGAAGAGAGAGGGGCTTCCAGGAAGGAGAGGGAGCAACCCACAGAAGAGGCAGCAAGACAGGAAGGCGGGCAGGGGCTGAAAATCCAATACATATCTAAGTACATTTTTCTAGGATGGGCTTCTACACTCAGCCAAAACATATATTGCATATTGTTTGTATTTTTTAGAGGTTTACAGGTCTCCCTGAAAGTCCCTCTGTGGAATTATAAACCTCTAATAAAAAATCCCAGGGTTAAAGAAAGGAAAAGATGAAGGAGAGGCCCACACTCTGAAAGGAAAGGGTTCAGCGACTCCTGGAAGGTTCTGGATGGTGCTTCCTTGACCAAGTCAGCTGCTTCTTCTACCTGGTCTCCTTTGTGGTTCAGCTGGGGTGGGGCTTACTAGAAAAAGCTGTGGGAGGTGGTTGCTCCAACGTATGGGGGCTGTCTGTAAGTGTAGGTGTTATCTGATGAAAGCTGCCCCGGGTGAGGGTTTGTACAGAAAGCCCCTGGTGGTGGGGAGATAATGTCAAGCTTCTCTCTCTCTCCCAGATCCTGGTTGTATCCTCTGTCCCTCTCCACCCCCACCCACTCACCCACAGACTTCCAAGGAACCGGCGCCTGCAGACATGCCTCTCTGATGCCCTCCCAGTAACCCCTGGCAGGCAGCACAGCGCCAAACCTCTTGGCCTTACCCCACTGGGCCCATGACCCAGTGGCTGTGCCTCTGGGTCCTCCCTGTCCTGCAAAGAGAACTGGGCCCTCAGTCAGGTTCTTCTGCTCCAACCCAGTGGCCACCTGTGCTCTTGGGGAGCTCGGGGGAGGCTGGGAAACTTTCAAAGAGCAGTTAATCACTAACTAGCTGGAGATAAGAGAGAGAGAATGAAACAATTGAGAAAATGCCCAACCCAGAGGTTAGTGCTTCCCTGCCTGCACACGCCAGAACCTGGCCCGCGCAGAGAAACTGGCGATCAAACTGAGTTTGTTCACTGGAGAGAGCTGACATACAGTCTCTAAGGGGCTGCAGTATCCCAGGCTGAGGTCCAGTGGCAGCCGCTGCCCCTTTCCTCCTAGGGCCCTTTCCTTCAGCCATGCCTCAGCCCTGAAGACAAACAGGAGCAGTTTTCAAGGAGCCCTTCCCTTATCTCTAAGGTCTGGGCCTGGAATTCAGCTTGGCCCATTTACTATGCCAGCTCTGTGCAGGGTGCAGAGATCCAAGATAAATCAGACAGGGTCTCTGCTGTCAGTGTGCTCAAGGAAAGAGGCTTTTAGGGGAAACAAATCTAAACGACTGCCAGCTGGAACTTCAACTCTGTAAAGCAGCACCCTGCCACATCTGCCTGCTGGAACATTTTCATCTGCTGGGCTCACGTAGCTGTGCAACAGCTGGGGCTGGGGTCACATTCTGGGCTGATCTGATGATTATTTTGGCTAGAGTGAGCTCATCCTTTTTGTTTTCAGGAGCTGTTCAAGGGTGGTCTGATGGTTTGGATCAAGACTAGCTGTATCCCGGAGAAGAATACGTTGACTTTTCTGGGGTGGGGTCTGGGGCAGAAAGCAAGAAGGCTGCCTTACTTCAAGGAAGGCTCTCCTTCCACCTTCTGCCCTCTGAGTGCCTTGTATGCGCAAGTGACACTAGACAAAGTGCTTAACACTTATTACCTGACTTGAATCTCCCAATGGCCCTGTAAAGCAGGTACTCCATTATCATCACCACCCTTCTTTTTACAGGCAAGAAAACCAAGGCACAGTCAGTTTAAATAACTGGCTCAAGGCTGCACGGCCGATAAGTAGCAAATTTGGACTTCGAATCTGGGCGCTCTGGCTTCAAAGTGTGCTGTCCATTGTTCAGGTTCTGGTCTGGTACTGGCAATGTCAGCCACACCTGGAAGCTTGCTAGGACTATAGAATCCCCAGCTGACCCCAAACTCCCCAAATTAGCACCATGATTTTAACAAGATCTCAGGTGATTGGTGTACACATTACAGTTAGAGAAACACTGCCCTTTTCACATTATATGGCTCTGTGCTCAGTACAGATTTAATTTTCTTTTTTTTTTTTTTTATTATACTTTGAGTTCTGGGGTACATGCGCAGAACATGCAGGTTTGTTACATAGGTATATATGTGCCATGGTGGCTTGCTGCACCCATCAACAGGCCCCGGTGTGTGATATTCCCCTCCCTGTGTCCATGTGTTCTCATTGTTCAACTCCCACTTATGAGTGAGAATGCGGTGTTTGGTTTTCTGTTCTTGTGTTAGTTTCACAATCATTCTCAGATTTAGCTTTCAAACTATTCATTCCACCTGCCAACAATTAGCGAGCTCCAGACATTGTGCCAGGTGAATGATGGAGGTGAAGAGACAAATTTCCTTATAGAACTTGGCCATGCCCTTCATGCAGGCAGTGTGTGGAGTGCAAGTCAGGACACTTGGATCTAAATCCAGTGCTACCACCTGCCGGCTGCGAGACTGTGGCTGAGTCATTTCACCTTCTTGGGTCCCAGGTTCCTAATCGGTAAAACCGGGAGGCAAGCCAGAGATGTCCGGCCCCAGCAGCATATTCTATGTGAACAGGATGAGGTGCCCAGCAGGCAATCAGTGGGGATCTGCTGAATGAGGGAACCAGTAAATGAGTGAGTGAACCGATCATCCACCACAAGGAAAGAGCCCTCCATTTCCAAATGAAGAAAAGAAGTATGCTAGTGGAGGGGAGACGGGATTATCTGCTGTGTGTCAGGGAAGAGTAGGGCCTTCCCAAGCTCCCTTAATACTAACATTACACAGGGGTCCTCGCTTGCCCTTCTCAATGGTCCACTCAGATGATTTCTCTTGGCGAATGTCTGCCCCACATCTGTGTGTCACTCAGCAACTTTGGCCACCTATCCAGTGTGGGATCTCTAGATCACAAGGTGGGGAAAGGGGTGAGGAATGACCTAGAATCCTGGCCTCTGGCCTTAGAGCCTCACTTGTTAAAGGGAAAGGGGCAAATAAGATCTGAACATCAAAAATTATTTCAGCTTGCCTTCCCTCTCACTTTTCTCTGTCCCCTTCTCCTCTTGTCTTCCCTGCAAACCACTTTGAGTCTCCTTTGGTTACCAAGATAAAACCAATCCACATTAACTATGGCTGGTATTTTTTTCGCTTTTACTCCAAGCCAGTGCATAGAGCATTTTGCTCACATTAGATTATGGAATCCTTCAAACAACCTGATGATGAGTGGGTGCCATTGATACCCCCATTTTATAGCTGGGGCAACTGAGGCACAGGGTTGTTAAGCAGCTAACCTGAGGCCACTCGGTCACTTCCTTGTGGTGGGCCCAGGATTTGAATCCAGGTTTGCTCAACTCCAAAGCCTGTGTACTAAACGACACTTCCTGCCTTGATAAGATAATTGTGGTTGTTACTTGGCCAAATAAAGAGCCTATGGAGAAGTTGTTTCCAATGAAGCATATCAGCTTCTAAATCTGGCTGAACATTGGACTCTCCAAAGGGGCACAAAATACAGCTTTCCGGGCACCATCTTGAAATGACTGATTCAGCAAATTGGTCGTAGGCAGCGAGGCACCTGTAGTTTGGTAAAGCTCCCAGGTGATTCTGATAATGAGCTTGTGCAGAACCCATTTACCTAAGGAGAACGCGGGTTCAAAGGGACTGGACGGCTCTTCCTTATTTAGAGTAGGAGGCTGTTGGCTTCCGAGAATGAGGGCTAATTAACTTTGGGGAGCTTCCTGCAGTGACCTTTGCCTTCGGGGAAAGTGTGGGGATTGAGATAAGAGAGAGAAATCCTTGGCGGCTAGGAGGAAGGGTAGGGTGTTTGCTGTCAGGCTCCAGGCTTAGCCCTCGTGGTGTCCCTCCTGGAGATGGTGTGCACTGAGTGCAGTGGCTGCTGGAGAGTGGGTGGAGAGATGAAGGTGACAGGGGTGGGATTAATTAAAATATCAGGCAGTGTGGCTGGGCGCAGTGGTTCACACCTGTAATCCCAGCGCTTTAGGAGGCCAAGGCAGGTGGATCACCTGAGATTGGGAATTCGAGTTTAGCGTGGCCAACATGACGAAACCCTGTCTCTACTAAAAAAAATGTAAAAATTAGCTGGGTGTGGCGGTGCACTGCAATCCCAGCTACTCGGGAGGGTGAGGCATGAGAATTTCTCAAACCCAGGAGGCAGAGGCTGCAAGTGAGCGGAGATCACACCACTGCACTCCGGCTGGGGCAACAGAGAGAGACTCTGTCTCAAAGAAAAGAAGCAGTGAACCTTTAGATTATCCCACTCTAAAAGTGAGGCAACCTTAGTTTTTCTGGGTCTTTAGAAGCAGAAGTGCCCTTGGCTATTTCTAGGCTGAGGGCCCCACCTAGTTCAAGCCTTCTAAACATCCAGTGTTTTGCTATATTCATTTACCACTTGTCCTATTAGACTCTTAGGTCTTTTTTTTTAATGACTCACTTATTAAAGAATGTGCATTTATTTACAAGGCAATAATATCACTACCTTTAATGGAAAATTAGCAACCCTGGCTACACCTAGAAGGTAACTGTTAATAAATAGGATGAAACCCAAGGCTGGAATTAACTTCTCATTGGATCCTGCAGCCTATGCTCCTTTCACTGAAGGGTGATATCAGCCAACTGAGACCTCCTCTAAAGTCTGTGAAGGATTGAATTAAGAGAATTGGAAAGGGCACACATTTCTCATGATGTGATTCAATATTGATTAATTCCAGGTTCACCTATTATCTAAAACCATGTTACTGAAAGTGGCTTATAAATACCGCAGCACCAGAATGTAAACTCCACAAGGGCAGAGTTTTTGGTTTTGTTTTGTCTTTTAAAAATCTGTTCATTGCTTTATTCCTAGACTCTGGAACAGTACTTGGAATATAGTAGGTGTTCACATATTTATTGACTACGTGGACTCTTTTTAGACTGAGAAGCGGAATATAAAGTCAGAGGGTCCGACTGGTGATCGAATGCCTTCGTTCTGTACTCAAGCCCACTCACCCACTTAGTTTTGAGAACTCTGGTGACCCAACCTACAGCCTGTCCCACCTTCAACTTATTCCCATTCCTTGGGTGCACGTGTTGCTGTGAGGATCAGATGAGGTCATGGATGGGCAGGACTCTGAACTGCGTGCCCTCTGCACAGGGAAACGGCTGGGCCGATTATAAATTGCAAAGGGGATGCCTGATGGTGGCCCCATGACTTTTCATATGCTTTGGGCTGTTGTGAGAGAGAGTGCCCAAAGCCTGATTCTGGAACATTTTCTTTGCTGTCTTCTAAATGAGAACCTGCTTGCTTCAATTCTCCCACTGAGCAATCATGCTGACATGAGGGAGGTGGAGTCAGACCTTACATTGTTGAGACCAGATTCTGTGTTCTACGAGTATTGGGAAGGGTGATGCAGGCAGGCACCCACCATGTTCCCTGTGAGTGCTTATTTTTAATAAAAACCTTGGTATACT